>NC_000012.12:110338915-110490431 GCF_000001405.40 Homo sapiens | reverse complement strand
AAGAAATACGATGCATTTGTCAGATTTAAAGAAAAGTAATTCAATATTGAATGCAAGAAAAGTTTTAATTGTATCTAGCTAGAAGTACAAGTATATGTTACATGTAAATTTTCTTACATAACTATCATTGGTACATGGAACTACATCAGACCAATTACATTGTTTTAAGTTTCTGAACAAACCAAAATTACTTAATGATTTAATAAATAACAATACCATCCTAAACATACAGGACACAACTCACAACCCCTTACCCTCACCTTTGGCACGAATTCAATACACGAGACAAGACTGTCAAGTTAACATCAGATGTTCTCCCTGTTCTTCAATTGACATTGATTGCATAAAATTATTTAGTAAATCTTCTTCCTTTTTTTCTTCACTCATGTGTGATTCAGAATCATCTGAAGAAACTGAAGGAAAAATAAGAATTTACAATTGTCTGTTTTGGAAATAAAGCTCTAAGTACAACTTTCAAAATGACCTGGCTTATTAATAAGCCTGTAGTAAAGACAAATTGCCTGCAATTTTCAAGGCTCTTAGTCACCTCATCCTTCCCCCAAGTTTCTTACTCTTTAAGATACACAATACTGTATTCTAGCCAAGTTACTGTACAGCAAATTCTCTTGTTACTAAGTCCTGTTTTACCATTGATTTTCAAAATCTTTCAGTTGGGGGAAATTAAAGTGGTCAGTTACATCTTCAGAATCTCTGCATTTTCATTTAGTTCCTTCTCATCTCTTCTATTGGGGACCACAGGGACTCCCCCCCCTACAGTTTCCGCTAACTGTACCTTTTGGAACCTGACTTACCCCTTCTCTCCTGCCCTTTCCCTCATTTCTTGGATAGGCATGGTACGATATTTACAGCAAAGCTGGCTAACACTGTCATACAGTGATGGGATATCAATTCAGAAGGCCTAACTTCCCTACTTCAGTTTTTTTTTTTTTTGGAGACTAGAGTGCAGTGGCGCGATCTTGGCTCACTGTAAGCTCCGCCTCCCAGGTTCACGCCATTCTCCTGCCTCAGCCTCCCGAGTAGCTGGGATTACAGGCATGTGCCACCACGCCCGGCTGATTTTGTATTTTTAGTAGAGACAGGGTTTCTCCATGTTGGTCAGGCTGCTCTCGAACTCCTGACCTCAGGTGATCTGCCAGCCTTGGCCTCCCAAAGTGCTGAGATTACAGGCATGAGCCACTGCGCCTGGCCAACTTCCCTACTTCTTACCCACCTCCCTACTTCACTATGCTGATAACTAGGAAACTACTTAACATGATTTAACATTATCAGTTCTGAGGAATACTTCTGATCATTCGGTCTGTCTTCCCTTTTTCATTTTGCAGTATTTTGTTCTTGTGGTAGAAGGATCCTTTATGCTGATCCTTCCAAAGTCTGGATTTGTCTGAGTTGCAGCTGTAAAATTTTGATAATATCACCTGCTTGGCTTGCCTCCACTGTTTTGTTGAATATCAAACAAAATGGTATACAGAAGTCCCTCCTTATCCACAGTCTTGCTTTCCAAGGTACAGTATAAGATATTTTGAGAGAGACCACATTCACATAACTTTTATTACAGTATATTGTTATAAAATTGTTCTATTATTTATTGTTGTTAATCTCTTTATGTGCCTAATTTATAAATTAAAACTTTATCATAGATATGTGTTTTTTAGGAAATAACAAAGTATAGGGTTCAGTAGTATCCAAGATTTCAGCCATCCACTGGGGGTCTTGGAACATATTCCCCATGGATAAGAAGGGCCTACTATAAGAGATGTAGCACTTTGTAAACTAATAGATGCTATACAAAATATGTTCATCCAAAAATAGCACTAACTCATAAAAGAAGTGCTGTTGCTTGAGAAGGTCATGTTTGTGGTTCTGGGTTCAGACGAATTCATTCTCTACTAAGTCTTTGACCTTGATATTGTAAGTATCTTTAGCATTAGAAATACCTTGAATCTTACTCTTTTGAGCAGTATGTTCTTTTTTTCTTTTCTTTTCTTTTTTTTTTTTTTTTTGAGATGGAGTCTCACTCTGTCACCCAGGCTGGAGTACAGTGGCGCAATCTCAGCTCACTCCAACCTCCGCCTCCCAGGTTCAATCGATTCTCCTGCCTCAGTCTCCCAAGTAGCTGGGATTACAGGCGCCTGCCATCACGCCCAGCTAAGTTTTGTATTTTTAATAGAGATGGGAGTTTCGCCATGTTGGCCAGGCGGGTCTCGAACTCTTGACCTCAGGTGATCTGCCTGACTCGGCCTCCCAAAGTGCTGGGATTACAGGCGTGAGCCGTGGCGCCTGGCCCAGTATGTTCTTTTAATTGCAAGCATAAACTATATTTTATGTTTGGTTTTTTATTTGTGACAATAAAAGCAAATCATATTCTAAATTTGTTAATATCTTCATAATAGAAATGAAATTGTATTTGGTATAGTATTTTTAAGCATAAGATCTTAAAAAATGAATATTGTTAAATTTCCACATTTACCTGTTTGCATGAACAGTTTCCTTGGTCTTCTAAAAATCTTCAGTGACTTACATCTTGTTTTAGATGCATATCCAGTTTTTATCCTATAAGAAAGGGAAGTATCTTAGTTGGAGCCAGCAAAGTGAACAGCTGCCTAGGGCATGTGGAAGACCACACAAATTTGTTTTATTAGCTGCCAACATCACCAAAAAGACCCTTTCAGCACCCAGATTCTCCTGTAATTTCTTAACCCTGACATGTAAAGCTGCTGCAGTGCAATTTCAATACTCATGCTGCTTAATCTTTTTCCTCTCCCTGTTATATAGTATTCCCCTGTGCATAACCAACCATATTCTTCTCCTTTTGAAAGTATTTGCATTATTTTGAGGTTGAGTGGGAATTATATTGAAAAGGGCAGTCATCCATAACTCTATCTGATAAAGAAATTTTTATAATTCCACAAAATATATTCTAAAAGAAGTGGCATATTCTTATCAGTGCAGTAAAGAAAAAGTATGAAAATATCTCTCGGCTAGGCATGGTGGCTCATGCCTGTAATCCCAGCACTTTGGGAGGCCAAGGCGGGCAGATCATCTGAGGTTGGGGGTTCAAGACCAGCCTGACCAACATGGAGAAACCCCGTCTCTATTAAAAATACAAAATTAGCCGGGCATGGTGGCGCATGCCCGTAATCTCAGCTACTCAGGAAGGCTGAGGCAGGAGAATCGCTTGAACCCGGGAAGTGGAGGTTGCGGTGAGCCGAGATCGCGCCAGTGCACTTTAGCCTGGGCAACAAGAGCGAAACTCGGTCTCAAAAAAAAAAAAAGTATCTCTGCTTTTTAAAAGTCCAGCCTATTCTGAATTTAGCAAAGTGAATATATTAGGGAACACAACCATTAATATCACTTAGCTACCCTTCAAAAGAGATGGGGAAGGCTGGGCACAGTAGCTCACGCCTGTAATCCCAGTGCTTTGGGAGGCGGAGGTGAGAGTACCTTGGCCAACATAGTGAGATGCTTTCTGTACAAACAATTTTTTTTAACTAGCAGGGCATGGTGGTTTGTGCCTTTAGCCCTAGCTACTTGGGAGTCTGAGGCAGGAGCATTGCTTGAGCCCAGGAGTTTGAGAATACAGTAAACTGTATCACACCACTACACTCCAGCCTGGGTGAGAGAACAAAACCCTGTCTGAGAAAAAAAAAAATTAAACTGAGATGCATTTCCCCCCTTTTACACTAAGAAACAGACCCTTCTTTGTTTCTCACTGGCCGCCAAAGGGAATGCTGTATGAGCATTTCAGGTGCAGATGCAGCTGCGATATCAGAAGACCCCGAGTCCTCTCTCTCCAGTTGATGTCGCCATGTAGTGCAAGGGTAATGCTGTTTCTGTGAGTAACGGGAGCTAAGGCGGCTTCTGTGATGAGTGAGGACACCTGTGATACAAATCACCTGTTAAAAGACCCTCTCACTAATTGTAAAAACTAGTGAAAAGACAACTGGAGGTGCACCTGCCTGGCTTTTGTGAGCTGTGCTGAAGTACGTGCATGTACTGCCTCTTCATTAACATCTTCAGATAGTTTGCATTATAGATTTTAGCAATGCTGCACAGGTAACGCTTCTGGCCTGTGGTGAGGTCTGGATGCTAAAAGACAGAATAAGAGGATTTATAGTCTGCATTGTATTAGAGAAGTTGGCAATATTCCTTATCTGAAGAGATGAATGTTCAAGAGAGTTGTGCCAACTGTATTTTACTTTAGCAAATTCAACTACGTTAACTTGACAAAAGAGAAAGAAATGGCCAATTAAACAGTGCAAGTGGCTCTGCTTGCCATTCCACTCGGGTGATTCAGATGCCCTTTGAAGTCGGAGAACCCATTGCTCTAGATGAACAAGGAAAGAGCGAATCTGCTGTTCTGTCAAGTGTTACTTGCTGTGCGCCTCTCAGTGTGGGCATCTTGCCTTCTCAAAATGATTTTTGAGGTATAACATGGTACCTAAAATCAATCCAATTACTCTACTTAGTCTCAACTGAAGAAACATTCTTTTCCAGCACCAGAAGAATAACTGACTGTGTTGGACATTCTGAGGGATAGTATGTTAGTCTCTAAGTAATTTTGACTTGAGATTTTCATTGCACTTGCTGATTTAGAAGTTAATGTTCACTTAAGATGTATGATTCCACTATATATACAAGATTTACTTTACTGAATACATGGTAAGTTCAAAGAAAATGCAAAATGTTAGAAAAATTTACCCTAATTCACATTGCTCTAGAGATACTTTTAGCAGTTACGATCGTTAATGGGATACAGGTAACCATTGTAAAATCCTTATTGCCATTTTCTTTTATTTATTTTTCTTTTTTTAAATCCTACTTGCAAGCTAATTACTGCCATTTTCTTTACCTGCTTTCTTCTTAATTTTGTAGTCCTTGAGTAAAATATGTGTGAAGTTGGGTTTCTATTTTCAAGAAAAGATGGAACTTTTCTTGAGCATCTCTGTGGTTGGGGCATTAAGCTTCCCCTCAGTAAAGATACATTAGATATGAAGTATCATAAAACCATGAAATAACTCTTATGATAAAGAATGTATAATCTTTACATTCATTCATGAGTTTACTCAAAGATATTTATTGACTCCTAGACAATTATACTGCATATGCCTTGTCATCTGCAGTATCTCACCCTCTAAGCAGCTGATCTTCAGTAAAAAGTTCGGCTCTGAATACAAAGAGTATTGGTATTTAAATATGTCCCTGTTAGCATACCTTGAAAAAGGACGCCTCCATCATTGATTTAGAGAGGTGGATTGTTTGATTTTGGGGAGTTTTCCATAACTCTTGCAGCTTAGCTATGTGTGAGTTCACTTTGTATCCATCTTTGATTCTATCTGTAGGCAAAGACATCATGTGAATTTCAGAGGCAAAGATCAGTTCAACAAACTGAATTATTAAGATCTAGATATTTAGGCCGGGTGTGGTGGCTCACGCCTGTAATCCCAGCACTTTGGGAGGCCGAGGTGGGTGGATCACGAGGTCAGGAGATCGAGACCATCCTGGCTAACACGGTGAAACCCTGTCTCTACTAAAAATACAAAAAATTTAGGAGAATGGCGTGAACCCGGGAGGCGGAGCTTGCAGTGAGCCAGGATAGCGCCACTGCAGTCCAGCCTGGGCGAAAGAGTGAGACTCCGTCTTAAAAAAAAAAAAAAGATCTAGATATTTACATGTGTCAGTGATTATCCTGGAGTAGTACTGAATATTTTCACTCAGACTTAAATTTGAAGAGACTGTATGGTATGCCATTTGGTTTTAGAGCACACAAACAACATCAAAGATACTTGTAAATAAATATTTTATTTATATATAATACATTATTTTGAACTCAGCTAAGATGCAAAGTGTTGACAGTAACATCATGTCAGAAACATACCAAAGAGAAAATATACACGCAGGATTTGTGCTTTAATGATTTACAGTAATATTTTATTATCATTTAACTTTACTATATAGTTTTTTTTTTTTTTTTTTTTTTTTTTTTTGAGACGGAGTCTCTCTGTGTCCCCCAGGCTGGAGTGCAGTAGCGCGATCTCAGCTCACTGCAAGCTCCGCCTCCCCAGTTCATGCCATTCTTCTGTCTCAGTCTCCCGAGTAGCTGGGACTACAGGCACCTGCCACCATGCCCGGCTAATTTTTTGTATTTTTAGTAGAGATGGGGTTTCACCGTGTTAGCCAGGATGGTCTCGATCTCCTGACCTCATGATCCTCCGCCTCAGCCTCCCAAAGTGCTGGGATTACAGGCGTGAGCCACGGCGCCCGGCCTAACTTTAGTATATAGTTTTTTAAATCTTTTTTTAAGAGATGGGATCTCTGACGCCCAGGCTGGAGTGCAGTGGCATAATCATAGCTCACTGCAGCCTCAAACTCCTGGGCTCAAGAGATTCTCCCGCCTCTGCCTCTCAAGTAGCTGGGATTATAGGTGTGAGCCACTGCACTCGGCCTTAAAATTCTATTCTGTATTAGACTAGAGTAACACAAATTTTATCCCTTTGGAGATGTAGTATTAACATGAAAGACTGCAGAAATTTATCAAAATTTATTTTTACATAGTTTCAGTTATTTCATTTTTTGTTGTTGATTTTTGTTTGTTTTTGAGATGGGGTCTCACTCTATTGCCCAGGCTAGAGTGCTGGCACAATCTCAGCTCACTGCAACCTCCACCTCCCAGGTTCAAGCGATTCTCCTGCCTCAGCACCCCAAGTAGCTGGGATTGCAAGCATGCACTACCAGCTAATTTTTGTATTTTTAGTAGAGATGGGGTTTTACCATGATGGCTAGGCTGGTCCCAAACACCTGACCTCAGGTGATCCGCCTGCGTTGGCCTCCCAAAGTGCTGGGATTACAGGCATGAGCCACCATGCCCAGCGTATTTCATTGTTTTAAAAACAGTTGTGGACAGCATAAAAGAATAACCTTTTAGTAAAAAATAAAAGTTGAAACATATTCCCAGAAGAATGGGAACTGGTTTTCAGTTTCAGACATACTGAGACTAGTAATTTAGGGTATAAGCTTCACTAGCAGTTTTGGGAAAAATAGTCTCTGACAATTAAATCACGAAATGCCTCTTTTTTTTTTTTTGAGAAGGAGTCTCGCTCTGTCGCCCAGGCTGGAGTGCAGTGGCACCATCTCGGCTCATTGCAAGCTGCAAGCTCCACCTCCCGGGTTCACGCCATTCTCCTGCCTCAGCCTCCTGAGTAGCTGGGACTACAGGTGCCCGCCACCACGCCCAGCTAGTTTTTGTATTTTTAGTAGAGACGGCGTTTCACTGTGTTAGCCAGTATGGTCTTGATCTCCTGACCTCGTGATCTGCCCGCCTTGGCCTCCCAAAGTGCTGGGGTTGCAGGCATGAGCCACCGCGCCTGGCCCCGAAATGTCTCTTTTTATAATAATACATCCCTCTTCCCTGCACACTCCCTTCTCCAGGCAACCACTGATGTGCTTTCTATTACCATAGATTCATTTGCATTTTCTTGAGTTTGATATAAATGGGAATACACAGTACTCATTTTTTGTCTGGTTTTTCACTCAACCTAACGATTTTGAGATCCACTCATGTCACATGTAACAAATAGTTCATTTATTTTTATCATTGGGTTATCTTTTTTTTTTTTTTTGAGATGGAGTCTTGCTCTGTTGCCCAGACTGGATTGCAGTGGCGCCATTTCGGCTCACTGCAAGCTCCGCCTCCCAGGTTCATGCCATTCTCCTGCCTCAGCCTCCCGAGTAGCTGGGACTACAGGCGCCCGCCACTGCGCCCGGCTAATTTTTTGTATTTTTAGTAGAGACGGGGTTTCACCATGTTAGCCAGGATGGTCTCGATCTCCTGAGCTTGTGATCTGACCGCCTCAGCCTCCCAAAGTGCTGGGATTACAGGCGTGAGCCACCGTGCCCGGCCTGTTGGGTTATCTTCTATTGTATATATGTTTACACTGTTATTTGATTATGTACCTGTTGATAGACATTTGGGTAGTTTCCACTTTTTGTCTATTACAAATAAAGCTGGAAAGACACATTTTAAGTTAAAAGTTTGCGTCCGGGTGTGGTGGCCCATGCCTGTAATCCCAGCACTTTGGGAGGCTGAGGCGGGCAGATCACTTGAGGTCAGGAGACCAGCCTGGCCAACATGGCAAAACCCTGTCTCTACTAAAAATATATAAAAGTTAGCCAGGTGTGGTGGCGTACACCTGTAGTCCCAGCTACTCAGGAGGCTGAGGCAGGAGAATCTCTTGAACCCAGGAGGTGGAGGTTGCAGTGAGCCGAGATCGCAACACTGCACTCCAGCCTGGGTGACAGAGTGAGACTCTGTCTCAAAAAAAAAAAAAGTATATAGTTAGTTGAATTCAATAAGCACATTTTTGTTTCAATATTATTAATAACAGGCTATTTCAGTTTTGTATTAAACTTTAAATTTAGTTATTTCTTCAAGATTTTGGCAAGTTGGATACTACAGGTAAGGACTAACTAGTTGACCAAGAAATGGAAAATCATTTGGAAATTGTATTATGACCCTTGAAACATAACTTATAATCTGTAATAATATGAATGCCAATTTAAGATTTTTAAAAGTTTTTTGTTTTGGAAATCCTTTTTCAAGTTGTAAACAGAGGCTATTTATATAAGAATATGAATTGTGTCCTTAATAAACAATATTTCTGAGATGCATATTATATTTTGGACCAACACTTAATTTCTCAATAGCTTGATAACATTTCTTTACAGAAAATGAAGCACTTAAAAATAAATAGGCTGGGCATGGTGGCTCATGCCTGTATAACCCCAGTACCTTGGGAGGCTGAGGCAGGCAGATCACCTGAGGTTGGGAGTCGAGACCAAGCCTGGGCAACATGGTGAAACCCGTCTCTACTAAAAAAAAAAAAAAACCACACACACAAAATACTTAGCCAGGCATGGTGTCACACCCCTGTAATCCCAGCTACTTGGGAGGCTGAGGCAGAAGAATCACTTGAACCTGGCAGGCAGAGGTTGCAGTGAGCTGAGTTACTGCAACTGCACTCCAGCCTGGGTGACAGAGTGAGACTGACTCAAAAGAAAAAGAAAAATAGTATGGCAGTGCCTCGAACATTTAAACATAGAATTGCCATATAATCTAATAATTCCACTTCTGATCCAGCAATTCCAAAAGAACTGAAAGCAGGGACTCAAACAGATTATTTATCCATGCTCATAGCAGCATTACTTCATAATAGCCAAAAAGTGGAAGAAACCCAAGTATCCATCAACAGGTGAATATATAAACAAAATGTGGTATATACAAACAATGGAATATTATTTAGCTTTAAAAAAATAAGAGAATTCAGACACATGGTACAATATGGATGAACCCTGAAGACATGCTAAGTGAAATAAGCCAGTCACAAAGGACAAATATTGTATGATTTAACTTTTATGAGATACCTAGGAAAATCAAATATATACGGAGTGAAAGAATGGAGGTTGCAAGAGGTCAGGGGAAAGGAGGTATATAGGGAATTAGTGGTTTTTTATTTTGTTTTTAAATTTTCTTTTAGAGACAAAAAAAACTAAAGTTAATTTTATGTTGCCCAGGCTGGTCTCAAACTCCTGGGCTCCAGCGATCCTCCAGCCCTAGCCTCCCAAAGTGCTGGGATTACACACACGAGCCACTGCACCCACCTGAGAGTTAGTGTTTTATAGGTACGGAGTTTTAGTTTGGGAAGATGAAAACTTTCTGGAAATGGATGGTGGTAGTGGTTGCACAACAGTGTGAATATACTTAATGCCACTGAAATGTACACTTAAAAATGATTAAAATGGGCCAGGTGCATTGGCTCATGCCTATACATCCCAGCACTTTGGGAGGCTGAGGCGGGCAGATCACTTGAGTCCAGGAGTTTGAGACCAGCCTGGCCTACATGGTGAAACCCTTAGGCTGGGCGTGGTGGCTCACACCTTTAATCCCAGCACTTTGGGAGGCCGAGGCGGGCGGATCACGAGGTCAGGAGATCGAGACCATCCTGGCTAACATGGTGAAACCCCGTCTCTAGAAAAATATAAAAAAATTAGCCAAGCATGGTGGCAGGCGCCTGTAGTCCCAGCTACTCAGGAGGCTGAGGCAGGAGAATGGCGTGAACCCGGGAGGTGGAGCTTGCAGTGAGCCAAGATCGTGCCACTGCACTCCGGACTGGGCAACAGAGTGAGACTCCATCTCAAAAAAAAAAAAAAAAAAAAAAAAAAAATTAGCTAGGCGTGGTGGGGGTGCACCTGTAATCCCAGCTACTCAGGAGGCTGAGGCAGGAGAATCGCTTGAACTCAGGAGGCAGCGGTTGCAGTGAGCCGAGATCGAGCCATTGCACTCCAGCCTGGGCAACAAGAGCGAAACTCCATCTCAAAGAAAAAAAAAAAGATTAAAATAGTAAATTTTATATTATGTATATTTTACCACAAATAAATAGTTAACCAACCCAAGAACTTTTGAATATACTGCTTGGACTATATGCCCTCAAACAAAAACAACTCTAAGCAAATACTGATCTCTAATTAACTACTAGGCTTTTTTTTGTTGTTTTGTTTTTTGTTTTTTTTGGGTTTTTTTTTAGATGGAGCCTTGCTCTGTCGCCAGGCTGGAGTGCAGTGGCGCGATCTCTGCTCACTGCAACCTCCAACTCCCTGGTTCAAGTGATTCTCCTGCCTCAGTCTCCCAAGTAGCTGGGATTACAGACACGCGCCACCATGCCCAGCTAATTTTTTGTATTTTTAGTAGAGACGGGGTTTCATCATGTTGGCCAGAATGGTCTCAATCTCCTGACCTCGTGATCCACCTACCTCAGCCTTCCAAAGTGCTGGAATTACAGGCGTGAGCCACTGCGCCCAGCCTACTAGGCTTCTTTTTTTTTTTTTTCAGAAGCATGTGTTAGCACTTTAGAAACTACTTTTTTATACATCTTAGGACGAAGCAAATAATATATTGTAGTTAATAAGCAGGTCTCACACTTTTGGAGACGAGTTACCTATTAATATGGAAAGAGGAAAGCACAGAATAAACCCTGTTTGTTGGATTGGAATTTGGAGTTAGTAGAAATATTGAAATAGATATGTATGGGTATGTATGTGCTCACAGGTAAATGCACACACATTTCTTTCCCAGCACTGTCCTCGGAGAAAGTCTAGAAGCAATGAAAGTATATTATAAATAAGCACACCTAGCACCCAGATCTTGGTTTCTACGTACTCTTCTCTACTTTAAATATATAATTTTTTTTTTTTTTTGAGACAGAGTCTCGCTCTGTTGCCCAGGCTCACTGCAAGCTCCGCCTCCCAGGTTCACGCCATTCTCCTGCCTCAGCCTCCCGAGTAGCTGGGACTACAGGCGCCAGCCACGACGCCCGGCTAATTTTTTGTATTTTTAGTAGAGACGGGGGTTTCACCGTGTTAGCCAGGATGGTCTCGATCTCTTAACCTCGTGATCCACCCGCCTCGGCCTCCCAAAGTGCTGGGATTACAGACGTGAGCCACCGCGCCCGGCCTTAAATATATACAATTTTTTAAAAAGGGGCTCTATGTTAGTTTCATTTTGCTGCCATAACAACACAACTTTAGCGGCTTAAAACAACACTCACGTATTGACTCATAGTTCTATAGCTCAAAAGACTGAGTATAACATGAATCCACTGGGTTCTCTGCTTAGAATCTCACAAGGCCAAAATCAAGGCATCGGGGTGCCTGGGCTGGACTGGGGTGCCTGGAGCCTGTAGTGGTTCATTCAGGTTGTTGGCAGAATTCAGTTCCTTACAAAACCAAAGTCCCTATTTCCTTGACATGTGGCTCTCTTCATCTTCAAGCCAACAATGGGGTGTTAAGATCTCTCCTTTCACATCTAACTGCTTCTCTTCCCCACATCTGTCTGACTTCAGCCAGAGAAACTCCTCTGCCTTGGGCTAGGCTGGGCCCACCCAGAAAATTCAAAATAACATCTCTTTTGAGGGTTATAACTTAATTTTACCTGCAAAATTGCTCCTGCCATGTAACATAACATATTTACAGGTTAGAGAGATTAGAGTGTGAACATCTTTGGGGACCATGCTGCCTACCACAGGCTCTTTGGAGAAATGGCAGACATCAAGGGTAGAACAGGGACAGTACAACGTTTTGTGCTAAAAGATAAAAGTTTTCAAAGGATAATGGAGACAGAGAACAAGAGCCATCTTTAAAGGGCTCCCACTGGCCAAATCTGGGATAATTTGAGCATCAAAATAAATAACAGATTTAAAGTAAAGTATTTAACCTATTCAATGGTATAAGAATCCATGTGTTGACAATTATATAATAAATATATAAATTGAAAAATGGTAGAGAAAGGGAAGCTCTTCATTAGAAAGCCATCTGAAAAATGTAGAATCAATGATGGAATTAGAAAAAGTCCATATGGCTGGGCACGGGGGCTCACGCCTGTAATCCCAGCACTTTGGGAGGCAGAGGTGGGCAGATCACAAGGTCAGGAGATTGAGACCATCTTGGCTAACATGGTGAAACCCCGTCTCTACTAAAAATACAAAAAATTAGCCGGGCATGGTGGCAGGCACCTGTGGTCCCAGCTACTCGGGAGGCTGAGGCAGGAGAATGGCATGAACCCGGGAGGCGGAGCTTGCAGTGAGCCGAGATTGCGCCACTGCACTCCAGCCTGCGCGACAGAGGGAGACTCTGTCTCAAAAAAAAAGAAAAAGCACATATTTCTAGCCATCTTAATCATAATGGATTTAGTCAAGAATGGATGACAAGACTGGGCGCGTTGACTCACGCCTGTAATCCCAGCACTTTGGGAGGCCGAGGCAGGTGGATCACGAGGTCAGGAGATAGACACCATCCTGGCTAACACAGTGAGACCCCGTCTCTACTAAAAAAAATACAAAAAAATTAGGCGAGCGTGGTGGCGGGCGCCTGTAGTCCCAGCTACTCAGGAAGCTGAGGCAGGAGAATGGCGTGAACCCGGGAGGCGGAGCTTGCAGTAAGCCGAGATTGCACCACTGCACTCCAGCCTAGGAGACAGTGCGAGACTCCGTCTCAAAATAAATAAATAAATAAATAAAAGAATGGATGATTAATGGATGAAAGTTTGAGAAGTAATAGGCTATATACAAAGTCTCAAAGTATATCCCCATATACTTTTACCTTTACAAAGGGTAAGAATCATAACTTTACAGTGGTGAAAGCTGGCAGACATCACCTGAACCAAACGATGACAACATTGTCAGTAAGGGACTAATGCACAGCAGGGTTCTCCTGATATGATTAACCTGGACAAACTCAGCACCACTTCTGTGCTATTCCTGCTAGAAGGACATAAGCTGAATCTCATCGGAGGAAACATCAAACAAACCCAAATTTAGGGAAATTCTACAAAAGAACAGGCCTGGGCCAGATGTAGTGGCTCACACCTGTAGTCCCAACTACTTGAAGGCTTAGGTGGGAGGATCACCTGAGCCCAGGAGGTTGAGGCTGCAGTGTGCTGTAATTGTGCCACTGCACTCCAGCCTGGGCAACAGGGTGAGAACCTGTCTCAAACAAACAAAACCCCACAGGCCTGTATTCTTCAAAAATATCAATGTCGGCCGGGCGCGGTGGCTCACACCTGTAATCCCAGCACTTTGGGAGGCCGAGGTGGGCAAATCCTTTAGGTCAGGAGTTTGAGACCAGCCTGGCCAATATGGTGAAACCCTGTCTCTACTAAAAATACAAAAATTAGCCAGGCATGGTGGCATGTGCCTATAATCCCAGCTACTCGAGAGGCTGAGACACAAGAACTGCTTGAACCTGGTGGGGCAGAGGTTGCGGTGAGCCAAGATTGTGCAACAACACTCCAGCCTGGGCGACAGAGTGAGACTTCGTCTCAAAAAAAAGAAAAAAGCTAAGAAACATAAAAACATTAGGCCAGGCGCGGTGGCTCACACCTGTAATCCCAGCGCTTTGGGAGGCCGAGGCGGGTAGATCACGAGGTCAGGAGATTGAGACCATCCTGGCTAACATGGTGAAACCCCATGTCTACTAAAAAGAAAAAAAATTCAAACAATTAGCGGGGCGTGGTGGTGGGCGACTGTAGTCCCAGCTACCCGGGAGGCTGAGGCAGGAGAATGGCGTGAACCTGGGAGGCAGAGCTTGCAGTGAGCCGAGATCGCGCCACTGGACTCCAGCCTGGGTGACAGGGCAAAACTCCGTCTCAAAAAAAAAAAAAACATTGACAACTGAATGCTATTCATAAACTTGGATTTTTTTTATTTTTGGCTATAAAGGATATTATTGAAATAATAAACGATATCTTAATAAGGTCTATAGATAACAGTATTTCAAGTTCTTGATTTGGATAATTATTTTGTGAGATAAATAAATGTAGTTAAGATAGGCCAGGCGTGGTGGCTCACGCCTGTAATCCCAGCACTTTGGGAGGCCGAGGTGTTCAGATTGCTTGAGCCCAGGAGTTTGAGACCAGCCTGGGCAACTTGGCAAGACTCCTATCTCTACTAAAAATATAAAAATTAGCTGGGTGTGGTGGCGCATGCCTGTAGTCCCAGCTACTCTGGAGGGTAAGGTGGGAGGATCACTTGAGCCCAGGAGGTGGAGGCTGCAGTGAGCCGATTGTATCCCCGCACTCCTGCCTGGGGGATAGAGTACAAAATATAGCTAAGATAAATACCCCCACTTTTTTTTTTTTTTTTTTGCCAGGGGTGAAGTCCCAGTTACTTGGGAAGCTGAGGCGAGAGGATCACTTGAGCCAGGGAGGTCGAGGCTGCAGTTAGCTGAGATTGCACCACTGCATTCCAGCCTGGGAGACAAAGTGAAACCTTGCCTTATAATAAATAAATAAAGGAAATACACACTTGGAAGTATTTAAGAATAAAGAGGGCCAGGCGCTGTGGCTCATGCCTGCCCAGCACTTTGGGAGGCCAAGGCGGGAGGATAACCTGAGGTCAGGAGTTAAAGACCAGCCTTGCCAACATGGTGAAACCCCGTCTCCACTAAAAATACAAAAATCAGCCAGGCATGGTGGCGTGTGCCTGTAATCCCAGCTACTTGGGAGGCTGAGGCATGAGAATCGCTTGAACCTGGGAGACCGAGGTTGCAATAAGCCAAGATTACACCACTGCACTCCAGCCTGGGCGACAGAGTGAGACTCCGTCTCAAAAATAATAATAACAGTAATATCTAGAGTCACTGCCAGTAGTTGGCTATCGTGTTTATTTTAAATAATAGAATGAATCCTTAAGTTCAACTATAGAGGAAGACAATCAAGCACTTGCTGAATACTGGCCCTTTTCCCCTCCAATTATAAACAGCAATACACATTGTTCACTGCAGATTAGTGAAGTAAACTAAGTGTATAAAAAGAAAATAAAAACTTTTAATTCCACAATCTAGTAGTAATTTTTTTTAATTAATTTTTTTTTTTGAGATGGAGTTTCACTCTTGTTGCCCAGGCTGGAGTTCAATGGCGCGATCTCGGCTCACCGCAACCTCTGCCTCCCAGGTTCAAGCGATTCTCCTGCCTGGAGTAGCTGGGATTATAGGGATGCACCACCACACCCAGCTGATTTTTTATTTTAGTAGAGACGGGGTTTCTCTATGTTGGTCAGGCTAGTCTCGAATTTCTGACCTCAGGTGATCTGCCCGCCTCAGCCTCCCAAAGTGCTGGGATTACAGGCGTGAGCCACGGCGCCCAGCATTTTTTTTTTTTTTTTTTTTTTTTTTTTGAGACAGAGTCTCGCTCTGTCGCCCAGGCTCAAGTGCAGTGGCATGATCTTAGCTCACTGCAACCTCCGCCTCCTGAGTTGAAGTGATTCTCCTGCCTCAGCCTTCCGAGTAGCTGGGACTACGGACGTGCACCACCACACCTGGCTAATTTTTTTGTATATTTAGCAGAGACGGGGTTTCACCATGTTGGTCAGGCTGGTCTTGAACTCCTGACCTCAGGTGATCCACCTACCTCGGCCTCCCAAAGTACTGGGATTACAGGTGTGAGCCACCGTGCCCGGCCTAGTAGTAATTATTTTAAAACACTTTGACATATTGCCTTTCAGAGTTTTTACTAGGCATATATTTGTTTAGAAATTTTTCTTTTATATAACTAAGTCAATCTAATATACTGATAATTGTTAATATTTCTTTATTTCCCTCCACATCTGGAATATATTACTAATAATTATATTGTTTTGTGTTTCCTTTCTTTTTTACACTGAACTATAATTCAGTAAGAATTTTGGTGAGGAATCTAAATTAATGAACCCAGACTGCAACACATTTTTTAAATGACCATATTATTTATTTATATATGTATATATGCACACATATATGTCTGTATATTTTTTTCCCAGGTAACTGTAATGACTATATATTTACCAAGGAAAAGCAAAGTGAACCCAGGTTTATGTATCACTGAATTTAAATGAAACATTTAAAACCTATTATAACTACTATACTTAAAATATATATACATACACACACACTCCTACAGTCAGTTAATTCCAGCTCCTCTCCCAAGGGAAAAAAAGCAATTAGTGAGAGACCTTTGGGGGATTGTTTTACCTACTCTCTTAACTCCAGCAGAGAAGAGGTGAATACTTTGAAAGCTCTATTCTTTATTTCAAGTGAGAGGAAAACATCAGCACTGAGAAATATTTTGTATTCTTTGAAGCTATTCAATTTAGAATTTTTTTCTTCTATCCATGTATAAACCCCAGGCTGTGCTCTGTGCTTTTCAACCAACGTCAGCTATAAATACAGTTCTTTTAGGATTCACTGCTAATTTTAAAAATGCTTGATGTAAAATATACTGTACCAACAGACAAGAAAAACCTCCCTGATTGCTCTTTGAAATCTTAAAGACTAAGTTCACCAAGGATGCTAATACAATCTATTTTTAACTCTATTGTGGGCTGGGTGTGGTGGCTCATGCCTGTAATCCCAGCACTTTGGGAGGCGGAGGCAGGTGGATCACCTGAGGTCAGGAGCTCCAGACCAGCCTGGCCAACATGGCGAAACCCTGTCTCTACTAAAAATAGAAAAATTAGCCAGGCATGGTGGCACGCATCTGTAGTCCCAGCTACTCAGGAGGCTGAGGCAGGAGAATCGCTTGAACCCAGGAGGCAGAGGTTGCAGTGAGCCCAGATCGCACTACTGCACTCCAGCCCAGGCAACAGAGTGAGACTCCATCTCAAAAAAAAAAGAAAAAAGAAAAAAACTCTATTGTGTAAGTAGTTACAGACAAATAGGCTTCTCAGAACCATGTTACTTATAAGTATTATCTGCTTTATATGCACTACTCACCAGAACCTTTGGAATTCTGGTAACAAGAGTATCCAGCTGATCTGTTGAAAAAATAAAGCATATAAATAATATGTAATAATTACAATGTTACAAGCACTGAACAACATATTTCAATTTTTTTTTTTTTTTTTTTTTTTTTTTTTGAGACAGGGTCTCACTTTGTCACCCAGGCTGGAGTGCAGTGGCATGATCTCAGGTCATTGGAACCTCTGCCTCCCAGTTTCAAGTGATTCTCCCACCTCAGCCTCCCAGGTAGCTGGGACTAGCGCTGCTACACCCAGCTAATTTTTGTATTTTTAGTACAGACGGTTTCACCATATTGGCCAGGCTGGTCTCAAACTCCTGACCTCAGATGATCTGCCTGCCTCAGCCTCCCAAAGTGATGGGATTAAAGGTGTGAGCCACTGCACCCAACCAACATATTTCAAATTTTAAAAAAGGATAGTGTTGCATATTATTTTTACTTTTCATGTTTCCATCAGAAATAATGTCTTACAAATTTTTTCCTATAATTCTGGTTAAATCCTAATGGCTCCAAGATTTTTTTCTTTCCTTTTTTAGAGATGGGGTCTCCCTCCTTCACCCAGGCTAGAGTGCAGTGTCGTGATCATAGCCCACCGCAGCCTCAAAATCCTGGGCTCAAACGATCCTCAGCCACCAAGTAGCCAGGACCACCAAAACGCCTGGCTAATTTTTGTACAGATGTGAGCCACCATGCCTATCCTGGGTCTTAATTTTATAGCTTCCTAATCTCATTCCTACAGTGAGCTCAATAAAGTAGTTGGGGCTCCTGGGCTATCCATGTGATTATCTTGCTGTCTTTATTTTTAATGAAGTGATTTGGGTATTGAAAAGACTGTTCTTTTTTTTTTTTCTTTTTTCTTTTTTGAGGTAGAGTCTTGCTCTGTTGCCCAGGCTGGAGTGCAATGGCGTGATCTCCGTTCACTGCAACCTCCGCCTTCCAGGTCCAAGCAATTCTCCCACTTCAGCCTCCCGGTAGCTGGGATTACAGGTGCCCGCCACCACGCCCGGCTAATTTTTCCATCTTTAGTACAGACAAGGTTTCGCCATGTTGGCCAGGCCGGTCTCAAACTCCTGACCTCAACTGATTCGCCCGCCTCAGCCTCCCAAAGTGCTGGGATTACAGGTGTGAGCCACCACGCCATGCCGAAAGACTGTTCTTTGAATAGTAATTAAGGTGTGCTAGAACTAATAAGTTGGTCTGTAATGTTTCTAATTTCGTACAAATTCTTTTTCTTTTCTAAACTTAAGACAAAACAACTGATCCTCATCCTGCAATTTATTCAATGACCAAGAGTTCATGGGCCAGGCGCCAAGTTTATAAAGTTTTTGTTATGAACTTTTCACCGCCGCTTCCTTTGCTATTTTATTCCAAGCCACCATATCGTTTTCTTGTATTCCAACTTCTTAATTCTACGCTTGCTCCTTCTAGTTTATTCTCCAACTAGCAACCAGCGTGATCCTTTTTAAGTAAAGTAAGATCACATCACTTCTCTGCTGGCAACCCTCCTGTGTCTTCCTTTCTCAAAGGTTGACTTTATAAGGTATGAGGGAGTTTTGAAGGAGTGATAGAGCTGCTCTGTATCTTTAGTGTGGCAGTGCTTACATAGCCATGTGCATTTGTCAAAACCCATCATATTATACATGAAAAAGTAAGACTTTAATTTGTGTAAATTATGCCTCAATAAACCTGACTTTAAAGAAAAAAAGTGCTGGGCACGGTAGCTCCCGCCTGTAATCCAGCACTCTGGGAGGCCGAGGCGGGTGGATCACGAGGTCAGGAAATCGAGACCATCCTGGCTAACATGGTGAAACCCCGTTCTCTACTAAAAATGCAAAAACTTAGCCAGGCGTAGTGGCACGTGCCTGTAGTCCCAGCTACTCAGGAGGCAGGAGAATCGCTTGAACCTGGGAGGCGGAGGTTGCAGTGAGCCAAGATCACACCACTGCACTCCAGCCTGGGTGACAGAGCGAGACTCCATCTCAAAAAAAAAGAAGAAAAAAAGTAAGGAGTTCCGGAGTTCCCATTAGTTAATAATGGGATTTTTGGCAGATCACTTCCCCTTTCAGATTAGTAAATATGACCGGAATTGATGATTTTTAAGACCCCTGCCAGTGCCAACATTGTATCATGTAGCATAATAAACCTGATTCTAGTTTGAAAATTTTATTTTGTATTTCTGGGAATATAAGCTTTTCATAAATTAGTCTTGGTTTGTGTTTTTTAATGGGGTTCCTTAAACCAAACTGAAGGGCATACTGTCTTTTTTTTTAATTGTAGTTTTAAGAGTTTGGATAAACTAAAGGAAGCATGGAGATGAACGACAGGCGGAGATAAAAGGAAAGGACAAACAACCTCTTTGTGCCTGTTTTGTCATCCATAAAGTGGGGATCATAATAGAACCTTCCAGGATTACAGGCTCATGCCCATCTCTACTAAAAATACAAAAATTAGCCAGGTACGTGGTGGCGCACACCTGTAGTCCCAGCTACTTGGGAGGCTGAGGCAGGAGAATTGCTTGAACACAGGAGGCGGAGGTTGCAGTTAGCTGAGATCGTGACACTGCACTCCAGCCTGGGTGACAGAGGGAGACTCTGTCTCAATAAAAAAAAAAAAAAAAATTCACGTATCTCCTGATACACCAGGATCCTGCAGTCGGCCAAGGACTGTGAAGAACAGAAAAGAAACCCAAGACTCCATCCCATCTTTAAGAAGTCTTCAGTAGCACCAGAGACAAAAAGGACGGCCATGCGGGCGGATCACGAGGTCAGGAGATCGAGACCATCCTGGCTAACACGGTGAAGCCCCGTCTCTACTAAAAATACAAAAAAGTAGCCGGGCGTGGTGGCAGGCGCTTGTAATCCCAGCTACTCCAGAGGCTGAGGGAGGAGAATGGCGTGAACCCGGGAGGCGGAGCTTGCAGTGAGCTGAGATGGCACCACTGCACTCCAGCCTGGGCAACAGAACGAGACTCTGTCTCAAAAAAAAAAAAACAAAAAGGATGGCCATGGGTGCAACAGGGGCCCTGACTGCGGGTTGTACTGAACGGCAAACATATCGCAGTTCTTGCTTTTAGGGAATAAAGTAGGGAGAGGAAGAGGAGGTAGAGTCTCCAGCAGTGACTTCAACAGCTCGCTGTCTTCACTATCTAGGAAATAGGTGTAAAAACCTGCTCAAAACGAAATAGATTTGTGAAAAAAGGA
This sequence comes from Homo sapiens, assembly GCF_000001405.40. NCBI lineage: Eukaryota > Metazoa > Chordata > Mammalia > Primates > Hominidae > Homo > Homo sapiens. The sequence goes on along the minus strand of NC_000012.12, from coordinate 110,469,893 downwards.
ACTTCAGTGTGAAGAAAATGTCAAGATCAAGGCACCTCGGATATTCAGTCATTGGTCTCATTGGCGATTAGAAATCCTCGTTTGAGGTCGGGCGCAATGGTTCACCCCGTAATCCCAGCAATTTGGGAGGCCGAGGCGGGCGGCTCACTTGAGGTCAGGGGTTCGACACAAGCCTAGCCAACATGGTGAAACCACCTCTCTACTAAAAATACAAAAATTAGCCGGGCGTGGTGGCAGGCGCCTGTAATCCCAGCTACTCGGGAGGCTGAGGCAGGAGAATCACTTGAACCTGGGAGGCTGAGGTTGCAGTGAGCTGAGATCGCACCACCGCATTCCAGCCTAGGCAACAGAGCGAGACTGTCTCGCTCTCAAAAAACAAGAAAGAAAAGAAAAAAAAAGAAAAAGAAATCCCCGTTTGACAGGAAGGTGGCTCATGTCACTAGAGGGAAGGAACTGGTTTATGGGCCTGGATGCCCCCAGTTGAACCGGGGGACATCTTCCTCCTCTGTCCCTCCCGCCTCGCCTTTCGGTGGACACACAGTCCTGTGCCAGACAGCAAACGTCCCAGCAGGGCTCGCAGCGCCCCCTCGGGGCAGAGAGATGCACGCGGGCGACTGTCGCAGTCACCTCGTGGCCACTGCACCAAACGCTCCTCCGAAGCTTCCCTCAGAGACCCTCCCTCAACCGCGAGGCAGTCCTCCCCTCTGCCCTCTGTCCACAACAAAACTGCTCCCCGCCTCTCACTTGAGGGCACCGGGGCCAGCCCCCGAGACGAGAGGTCGGCCGCAGCCCTCCTCCACGGGGCTCACGACCCGGGGGCCTCACGACCCGGGGGCCCCATGCTGCCACCCTTACCCCGGGGCCCCCAACCTCACCCGCCGCCGCCACCCTCGGTCCCGGCCACAGCGGGCGGCTCTGCAGAAGAGCTACGCTCCGTCCAGTCGGACCCCGGACCCTGGCCGGGCATCTCCGCGGCGCCGAGACCGCGAGCCGTGTGCGGGAGCAGCTGTCCCAGCATCCCTCCCCCGACAGCACGCGTGCGTCAGGCTGCTGGTATTCCGGAGAGGCGGCTCGGATGCTGGCTTCTCGCCCCTCCGAAGCCGTTCGGACACTGCCCGAACAGCTTCGGGAGAGCGGGGCGGGCAGATCCGCGACCCCGGAGTTACGGTGGGGGAGGGGCAGGAGCGCTGCGGTCGCTGAGCGTTTGCACGTTTGCACCTCTCTGTGGAAGCAGTGCGTCACAGGAGGGAAATATACATGCTCCCCAAAACAAGAGGTGCCTTCCACTTCAGTATTCCAGATCCTCAGCACATTTGCAAATCGCGAGGGTCACCATACAGGTCAAACGTCTGCACGCAAACCACGGACCGAAGCACGTGGCGCAAGGATGCGGAGCTTTATCTGTTGTCCGTTATTACTCAGGTATCCAAGCTTAGACAGCATCCCAACGGCCGATTTCCATCAACTACTTTTGCGCACGCGCAAATCCTCTCCCTCGCCCCTCCCCTTTTTTCTCAGGACGCGTTTCTCACGGGATTTGGCCCGCGGGCTGCCCCGTAGTAGGAGGTGTGGTAGAACTGGAGGCGTAGAAAGAATGTGGATTGCGATTGGTTCGCACTTCACTTTCCCGGAGCTCAGTGGGCGTCGCGCGAAGGCTAAGGGAGTGTGGCGGGCGGCTCCGGGAGCCAACATGCCTCGGTATGCGCAGCTGGTCATGGGCCCCGCGGGCAGCGGGAAGGTGAGGATCTGCGGGGACAAGGAGAGAAAAGTAGGAGTTCGTGGAAGGCGGGAGATTGGGTCCTGAGGGAGTGAGCCGGCGGGTGTGTGTACTGGGAACCCTGAGACCCCACGCAACTCATTTCTGCTGTCTGGCTTCACGTTCTTTTTTGTTGTTGTTTTGAAAGGGAAATAATGGTAGTTGTTAATATTTATTGTATACTTAAGCCCCAGGCAGCAGATGAAACGCCTCGCTTATTTCTACAACAACCCTGTGAGAGAGATCTCATTTTTCTCATTTTACAGAAAACGAGATACAGAAAGGTTAATTAAGTTCTTTGCCCCGCAAAAAAATATAAATCCAGTTTTGTCTCAACTCCAGAATCCGGCCCTGTCTCGCTCCCAGGAGGGTAAAGTGGGGTCTCATTAATTACTGTTTCTCAGAACTTGGGACATGGACTTTTGGTATTTAAGGTGCTTTTAGGTGGTAGGTGGTACATGGACCCCACATTAAGGAGCATCAGATAATGTGTTAGGGAAATTGTTCCCTTTTCATTTCTCTTTCAGTTCTCAACTTCGCATTTAGGAGAAGTTGTGCTCGGTGCTAGTGTGTATCTTCAGCACTTCTTTAATCCCCAGGTCTTTTCAGAGAGCAGTTCTTAGTCTCAGAGCTTTTAATAGGCACCTGTATTTAGCTAAAAATAGAACATTTAAAGATTTTATATAATTTTATGTCTAATTTCACGTTATGTCAAATATAAGTGGTTTTCAGTTTACAGTAGGGATAAAATTTTTTCTTGTAAACAAATATTAAGGGAATGTTAGGAACATTCAAATACAGTGAGAATGGTGAAGATATGGATCAAATAACATATGTGTGGGAAACATAGCCAGGCGTGGTGGCTCACGTCTGTAATCCTATCACTTTGGGAGATGGAGGTGGACGGATCGCCTGAGCCCAGGAGTTTGGGACCAGCCTTGGCAACACGGCGAAACTCTGTCTCTACAAAAAAATGCAAAAATTAGCCAGGCCTGGTGGCAGGTACCTCTAGTCCCAGCTTCTCGGGAAGCTGAAGTGGGAGGATTACCTGAACCCAGGAGGTTGAGGCTGTGGTGAGTGGTGATCGTGCCACTGCACTCCAGCCTGGGTGACAGAGGTACTGTCGCAAAAAAAAAAAAGAAGAAGTGTGGAAACACTAGAGTCTGTGGAGGTGTTGTGTGGCCTCAGTCTTTAACAAACACATTGTTCTAAGCTGTTGACTTATTCTGGGTAAAAACATGTACATGTAACTAAGATACCTATGGCCTTTAACTTACCCAGAGTCTGTAGTCTTTTGGGGAAGACAAATAGATGACCTGTCAATTAAGATACAGTGTGATGTGGCCAGGTGTGGTGGCTTAAGCCTGTAATCCTCGCACTTTGGGAGGCTGAGGCCAGCAGATCACTTGAGCCCAGGAGTTCAGGGTCAGCCTGGGCACCATGGTGAAGCCCTGTCTCTACCAAAAATACAAAAATTAGCTGGGCATGGTGGCGAGAGCCTATAGTCCCACCTACTCGGGGGGCTAAGGCTGGAGAATCGCTTGAGCCTGGGTCAAAGCTGCAGTGAGCTATGATGGTGCCACTGCACTCCAGCCTGGGTGACAGTGAGACCCTTTGCAAAAAAAAAAAAGATACAGTGTGTGATGTATGGAGAGGGCATTCCAGACAGAGACAACAGTATGTGTAAAGGCACTGAGAGGACAGCATGATGGATGTTTTTTCTATAGTCTATTTTAATTTTTGGGCTGATTGTATTAAACAAGTATCTTTATAAGCTTTTGATGCTTACTATCAGAAACATTCCTTGAGTACGTTCTTTATCCCAGGCACTGTTTTGGGCCCTGGGGGTTGTATGGGGAAAAAAACATGCACACACAAAATCCGTGCCCTTGTGGAGCTTATCTTTAAACATAATAAGTCAATTAGAAACAATTATCAAGTATTTATTATGTACTAGGTATTGCGCTAGTCCCTGTGCTTGGGAAACTGAATAAGACACATCTCTGCCTTTAAACAGAGTATGACACAGACAAGTAGCCTAGAGACTTTTTTTTTTTTTTGAGCCAGGAGTCTTGTTCTGTCATCCAGGCTAGAGTGCAGTGGTGTGATCTCAGCTCACTGCGACCTCTGCCTCCCGGGTTCAAGCGATTCTCCTGCCTCAGCCTCCTGAGTATCTGAGATTACAGGCATACGCCACCACGCCCAGCTAATTTTTGTATTTTTAGTAGAGACGAGGTTTCACCATGTCGGCCAGGCTGGTCTCCAACTCCTGACCTCAGGTGATCCGTCGACCTCAGCCTCCCAAAGTACTGGGATTACAGGTGTGAGCCACTGCACCCAGCCCGAGATGTTAACATAGTACGGTAACAACTACATAATGGATAAAGAATTATCTAAACCAAAAGTTACAAACTGATAGCCACCTCCAGACTATTTATTGATCTTGGCGTTCTTTCATCTTGGAATGCTCTTCCCCTTAGGTTGGCAAACTCCTTCTCATATACTCATATCTCCCCTACTCAGAGACATCATCCCTGACCATCCTACCTAAAGCTTTGTTTGCACTGTACAAGTCCTGGTAGAGACACTGTGTTAGGTGTTACACTATGTAACCAGAACTCTTCCCTTTAAATACCGCTTGTCACATTTAGAACAGTAAGGAGCCTTAGTGATTATGGAGGACATCCCAGTTAGAGACACGAAAATTGAAGGGCAGAGTGGAGAAGTAAATTCCCCAGAGGTACCCATGAGTCTAAGTCAGGTTTGAATCTGCAGCCCAGTCAGGTATCTTTTTCCCTTGTTGTCAGTCAGCCTCTTGGTTGATGAAGGCATAGTTTTGACCTTAGTGGATAGTATTCCAGAGTATGGAAGGTAGCACTACACTACCTGTTGCTTTAACCTCTCATGCCTTGTGACATTACAGAGCACCTACTGTGCCACCATGGTCCAGCACTGTGAAGCCCTCAACCGGTCTGTCCAAGTTGTAAACCTGGATCCAGCAGCAGAACACTTCAACTACTCCGTGATGGCTGGTAAGTCCTGAGCAAAGGCTCCCCCCACCTTCAGGAACAGTAAGGGCTGGGGAGGCAGTGAGTACTAGCTGCTTAGCACTGATACTTATTATAGTCTGGATCCCTGGTGTTATGGTAAATAGCATGAGCTTGTCATTTGGTCACATCTGTTCATGGTGATATGTGTGACAGTATCCTTTCTTGGTCTTTGATGTAAGATTTAAAAGTAAATGGGGCCGGGCGCGGAGGCTCATGCCTGTAATTCCAGCACTTTGGGAGGCCGAGGCGGGTGGATCACGAGGTCAGGAATTTGAGACCAGCCTGACCAACATGGTGAAACCCTGTCTCTACTAAAAACACAAAAAAATCAGCTGGGTGTGGTGGCATGTGACTGTAATCCCAGCTACTCAGGAGGCTGAGAAAGGAGAATCGCTTGAACCCAGGAGACAGAGGTTGCAGTGAGCCGAGATTGCGCCACTGCACTCCAGCCTGGGCAACAGAGCGAGACTCCATCTCAAAAAAAAAAAAAAAAAAAGTAAATGGACACTTCCCTCAGCACCCTTTCATTCTGTCCCTTTTGTCCTTAGTCCTGCTGTAGTGAATCATGTGGTATATTGCTGATCACTATAAGTCAGGAGCCTGGGTTTGTTTTTTTTAATTCTTTCAATTTGTTCATTCAAGTGTCTGTTGAACACCTGTTTTACGCCAGACACCGGAGTTATAGCAGAGAATAATACAGACATTATCCCTGCCCACACCAACCCTTTAGGAAATAGGCAATAAACAACATGATGAACATGTTACAGAATGTGATGACTGCAGACAGGCTCATGAGAAGTACTCATTGAGGTTGCTTTAGCTAGAATTGTCAGGGAGAATGGTGACTCTGAGGAGGGGATCTTTGAGCCTAGACCTGAAGGATGGTAATATGCTCCTCAGGCTGAGGAAAGTCCTTCCAAAATGAGGGAACATTTAGATCAATAAATATGCCAAGCTGGGTGCAGGGACATGTGCCTGTAGTCCCAGCTACTTGGGAGGCTGATGTGGGAGGATCACTTGAGCCCAGGAGTTCAAGTCCAGCCTGGGCAACATTGCAAGATCCATCTCTGAAAAATAAAATAAATAAATAAATAGCCTGGAGGTGAGAAAGGATTTGGTATTCTCCAGGAAAGCTAAGATGTCAGTGAGCTAAAGCGTAATGTCTGAAAGAAAGAAGTGGGTAGGGGCTAACAGGACATGATAAGATGGGATTTTATCCTGTTGTCAGTGGGGTGCCACTAGAGGGTTTTAAGAAGAGGAAAGGATTGACATTTGATACACGTTTTGGGGTTTTTTTTTTTTTTTGAGACAGGGTCCAGCTCTGTCGCCCAGGCTGGAGTGCAGTGACACAACCTCTGCCTCCTGAGCTCAAGCCATCCTCCCATCTCAGCCTCCCAAGTAGCTGGGACTACAGATGCGTGCCACCATGCCTGGCTAATTTTTATACTTTTTTTTTTTTTTTTTTTTTTTTTTTTTTTTTTGTAGAGACAGGGTTTCACCATGCTGCCCAGGCTGGTCTCAAACTCCTGAGCTCAAGCAATCTGCTGGCCTCAGTCTCCCAAAGTGTTGGGATTAGAGGCGTGAGCCACTGCATCCGGCCTTTTTTTGTTTTTGTTGTTGTTGTCGTTTTGTTTTTGAGACAAGGTCTCACTCTGTCACCCAGGCTATATAGTATAGTAGCCTGATCACAGCTCATTGCAGTCTCAACCTCCTGGACTCAAGCAATCCTCCTACCTCCCAAGTAGCTGGGACTACAGGCACACACTATCATGCCTGGGTAATTTTTGTATTTTTTGTAGAGGCGGGGTTTCTCCATGTTGCCCAGGCTGGTCTCATTGCCCAGGCTGGTCTCGATTTCCAGGCTGGTCTCAAACTCCTGGGCTCAAGTGACTCACCCAGCTTGACTTCCGAAAGTGCTGGGATAATAGGCATGAGCCACCGCACTTGGCCTGATTTATGTTTTAAAAAATAACTCAGGTGCTCAGATGAAAAATGGACTCTAGTGGGTTGAGAGTAGAAGTACAACCTGCATGGCTGGGCATGGTGGCTCACGCCTGTAATCCCAGCACTTTGGGAGGCCGAGGCAGGCGGATCACAAGGTCAGGAGATCAAGACCATCTTGGCTAACACAGTGAAACCCCGTCTCTACTAAAAATACAAAAAACTAGCCGGGCATGGTGGCGGGCGCCTGTGGTCCCAGCTACTGGGGAGGCTGAGGCAGGAGAATGGCGTGCACCCGGGAGGCGGAGCTTGCGGTGAGCCGAGATCGCGCCACTGAACTCCAGCCTGGGCAACAGAGCGAGACTCCGTCTCAAAAAAAAAAAAATACAAAATTAGCTGGGTGTGGTGACACATGCCTGTAATCCCAGCTACTCTGGAGGCTGAGACAGGGGAATCGCTTGAACCCGGGAGGCAGAGGTTCTGGTGAGCCGAGATCGTACCATTGCACTCCAGCCTGGGCAACAAGAGCAAAACTCCATTTTAAAATTAAAAAAAGAAGTACAACCTGCACTGCCGCTGTTGTAGTTAGCCAGGTGTACACCAGGACTAGGGTGGTCACGGTGGAGATGTAAGGAAGCAGACAGATTCAATATATTTTGCAAGTTGAATTAACAGCATTTTGTGGGGGATTGAACCAAGAAGGCATAGCAAAGTAAGGAATCAAGGGTGAGGTCTTACAGCTTTGTTCAGTGTATGATATAATTTCCTGTGGAGGGAGACAGGTCGTTTTAGGTTTGGGGACGTTCTCTTTGCACTCACTAAGTGCAAAGGGAAACTTCTGATTTCTGTTAATGAGTGAGCAGGTTGCGGGGAGGCAGATTGAAGGGAGAGGAGGAGATGTGAAATGCTTTTCTTTGAGAAAAAAGGCATTGTATTACTTTGGAACCATTTGGCTGCAGCAAACAGAAACCACTCTAAGCTAGCTTAGTTAAAAAGAGGACTTAGGATGGGCGCTATGACTGACACCTGTAATCCCAGTACTTTGGGAGGCCAAAGCAGATGGATGGCCTGAACCCAGGAGTTCAAGACCAGCCTGGGAAGCATGGTGAAACCCCATCTCTACAAGTCAATACAAAGATTAGCCTGGCATGCTGGCGGGTGCCTTTATTCCCAGCCACTCAGGAGGCTGAGGTGGGAGGATCACTTGAGCCTACGAGGTCAAGGTTGCAGTGAGCCATGATTATGCCACTGCACTCCAGCCTGGGCAGCAGAGTGAGACCCTGTCTAAAAAGAAAGAAAGCCAGATTGATTGTCCCAATTTGGATCAGTTATCTGTTATTGATTGCTGAGGGAGGGGGTAGGAAGGTGTTGTCAGTATAAATGTGACTGTGAATGAAGCTCAGTCCTTTGTGAATGGAGAATGTAGGTTTGAGCACAAAAATAAGTAAAAACCTAAGGTAGAAGATTCTATATACTGATTCCCCAAAATTAGTAAGATAACCATACCAGAATTTTTTAAGCCTCTCCTGTTGGTGATTTTTTTTTTCCTGAGACAGTCTCTCTCTGCCACCCAGGCTGGAGTGCAGTGGTACCATGTCATCTCACTACATCCTCTGCCTCCTGGGTTCAAGTGATTCTCCTGCCTCAGCCTCCCGAGCAGCTGGGATTACAGGCACATGCCAGCACACCTGACTAATTTTTCTATTTTTGTTTGTTTTTGTTTGAGATGGAGTCTTTTTTTTTTTCAATTTTATAACTTTATTTGATGTATTTGACGATCAGTGATTAGTTCTCATCGACATTGTCTGTAGATTTTTGAAAGTGGTGACAGGTACATAGGTAACCAAAGTATATGGCTTATTTGGTGAATCTTCATCCTCATTACGTTTTCTGGACAGCTGCACACGGATTCAGTATGGGACATTCCTTATTCCTTTGGCCCAGACAGCTTTGTTGAGCCTGGTATCAATGCGCACATCTGGAGTTCCCATCTCCTTCATGGCAAATTTCTGAATCTCTTTGAGTGCCTGAGGGGCACGCTTCTTGAAGCCCACTCCATAGATGTGCTTGTGAATGTTGATGGTGTATTCTCGGGTTACCACTTCGTTGATGGCAGAATGGCCCTTTTTCTTCTCGCCACCCTTCTTTGCAGGAGCCATTCTGCTGGGTCCAAGTTGGAAAGTGAGATGGAGTCTTGCTCTGTCGCCTGGGCTTGAGAGCAGTGGCGTGATCTTGGCTCACTGCAACCTCTGCCTGCTGGGTTCAAGTGATTCTCCTGCCTCAGCCTCCGGAGTGGCTAGAACTACAGGCGTGCGCCGCCATGCCTGCTAATTTTTGTATTTTTAGTAGAGATGGGGCTTCACCATGTTCGCCAGGCTGGTCTCGAACTCCTGATCTCATGATCCCCCCACCTCGGCCTCCCAAAGTGCTGGGATTACAGGCATGAGCCACCATGCCCAGCCTAATTTCTATATTTTTAGTAGAGACAGGTTTCAGCATGTTGGCCAGGCTAGTCTTGAACTCCTGACCTCAAGTGATCCGCCTGCCTCATCCAAAGTGCTGGGATTACAGGCAGGAGTCACCGCACCCAGCCCCTGATGGTGATTTTGATATATTATCTCATAGTTCTCATCCTTCTAACCCAGGATAAGGAAAGTGAGGCTCAAGGAGGTGAAATAGTTTCCTTAGTGTCATTGTGTTAAGAAATGGTAATCTGTTTTCTTTTTTTGGTTTTGTACTTTTTTGGAATAGGTAATACATATTCACATGGTTCATAATGTAAAAGTACTAAAGAGTAAGTATACAGGAAAACATCTTCCTCTCAGCTCTGCATCCCAGCAATCAGCTCCCCTCCCTGGCAGCAGCCAGTGTTACCAGTTTCTGGTGTGTTCTTTCATAGCCTGTGCACATAAAATTCAAGATGTATATGTATTATGTCTATGTAGTGAATTTTTGTCTTTTATTAACACCAATGATAGCATTCTTACACAGTTCTGCACCTTGCATTTTTCACTGAACAATATACCTAGGAGATTGTATTATTATTAATACTTAAAGAGATTTTCCCCATTTATGGCTGTGTAGTATTCCATTGTCGGGCTGTACAATAATTTATTTGCTCAGTTCTCTATTGATGGACACTGCTACAGGGAAAAGCCATGTACATAAATAATTTCCTGCATATGGGTTTTTTATGTAATTATTAACTTTTATGTTCTATTTCTAGTAAGGATAACAATTTTTGAAGGGACACATATATTCTGGGCCCTATCTGTCCTTTTCAGACATCCGGGAACTGATCGAGGTGGATGATGTAATGGAGGATGATTCTCTGCGATTCGGTCCCAACGGAGGATTGGTATTTTGCATGGAGTACTTTGCCAATAATTTTGACTGGCTGGAGAACTGTCTTGGCCATGTAGAGGACGACTATATCCTTTTTGATTGTCCAGGTGAATCAACAATTTGAATGCATTGTCTTCCTTAAAGTCTTGATAGTTCCATCCTTAGTAGGAGAAAGGAGAGTGAGTATTTGTAGCTCTAAACTATACTGCAGTAAAGTACCAAGCTTATTCAATGGCTGTCACTTACTAAGTATATCTGTTGAGGCCGGGCGCAGTGGCTCACGCCTGTAATCCCATCACTTTGGGAGGCCGAGGCAGGTGGATCACGAGGTCAGGAGATCGAGACCATCCTGGCTAACATGGTGAAACCCTGTCTCTACTAAAAATACAAAAAATTAGCCAGGCATGGTGGCGGGCGCCTGTAGTCCCAGCTGCTCGGGAGGCTGAGGCAAGAGAATGGCATGAACCTGGGAGGTGGAGCTTGCAGTGAGCCAAGATTGTACCACTACACTCCAGCCTGGGCAACAGAATGAGACTCTGTCTCAAAAACAAAAAAAAAAAACAAAAAAAAGTATATCTATTAAGTGCTTGCTTTGTACACTGGGAATACCATAGAGCACAGATGGCCATGGTCTCTGGCCTCATGGAGCTCACATTTGGCAGAACTCGAGACAGTACAAACAAAAAGCATCCAAATGATTATTTAATATTCAGTTGTCATTGAGTATTCCACAGGAGTAGCACAGATCATCACACAGATAATGGCGGTTAGAGAGGCATCTGAGGCGGCCTTTCAGCTGGGCTGGAGGCTGAGGGTGAGGAAGGCAGAGGGCACAGCCTGCTGAACACCTCCCAGGAGGAAGGAACAAAGCTGTTTTAAGGCACTGAAAAGGCCAGTGTGGCTGGAGCATAATAAACAAAGAGGCAATTGTCATGAGGTGTGACTGGTAGGAGACAGATAATAGCACATCATGGCTTCTGAAGCCAAATCGTGAATTTTCTTTTTTTTTTTTCTTTTTTTTGAGACTGAGTTTCATTCCTGTCACCCAGGCTGGAGTATGATGGCGCCATCTCGGCTCACTCCAGTCTCCACTTCCTGGGTTCAAGTGATTCTCCTGTCTCAGTCTCCCAAGTAGCTGGGATTACAGGCACCCACCACCACACCCGGCTATTTTTGTATTTTTAGTAGAGACAGGGTTTCACTGTGTTGGCCAGGCTGGTCTCAAACTCTGGACCTTAGGTGATTCACCTGCCTCGGCCTCCCAAATGCTGGGATTACTGGTGTGAGCCACCACCTCCAGCCCAAATTGTGAATTTTCAACTTGAGCCTAACCTGGCTTTGACCATTTATGGCCCTCACTTTTTTCCCCTTGCTTTTAATTGACCATACATATACCCACAGAAAAGTATATATGTCATAAGTATACAGCTTGATGAATATTCCCAAACTATAGATATCTTTGTAGCACTTATTTATTTATTTTTGTAGAGATAGGATCTCACTATATTGCTCAGGCTGCTCTCAAAGTCCTGGGCTCAAGCTATCCTCCCACCTTAGCCTCCCAAAGTGCTGGGATTACAGGTGTGTGAACCATGGCATCTGGCCAATAACACTCATATTGATTGGCAGAAAACTAAAGTGTGAAGAACCTCATTTTCTTTCTTTCTTTCTTTTTTTTTATTTTTAAAGACAGAGTCTTACTCTGTCGCCCAGGCTGGAGTGCAGTGGCGTGATCTTGGCTCACTGCAGCCTCCTCCTCCCGGGTTTAAGCAATTCTTGTGCCTCAGCATCCCACAGGCGCGCACCACCACGCCTGGCTAATTTTTGTGTATTTTTAGTAGAGATGGGGTTTCACTATGTTGGTCAGGCTGGTCTTGAACTCCTGGCCTCAAGTGATCCACCTGCCACAGCCTCCCAAAGTGCTGGGATTACAGGCATGAGCCACCCTGCCCAACCAGAGAACCTCATTTTCTACATAAAACTTAATAGTTAGGGATTCCTATGGTGGCAGTACCTTAGGTTTTATGATTGCTTTGAGAGGCTGTGGGCCCCTTAAAAATGTGTTGGCTTTTATTTTTGTCCATCTTATGGGGAAAATTTGTTTCCTCTAACTTGATGATTTAACATACTTGCTATTTCTAAAATTCTTGCAATACTCTTCATGTAGGTCAGATTGAGTTGTACACTCACCTGCCTGTGATGAAACAGCTGGTCCAGCAGCTCGAGCAGTGGGAGTTCCGAGTCTGTGGAGTTTTTCTTGTTGATTCTCAGTTCATGGTGGAGTCATTCAAGGTCTGAAGCTAAATCTCTTACAGATTTTTTTTTTTTTTTTTTTTTTTTTTTTGTGTGTGTGACAGAGTCTTACTCTGTTGCCTAGGCTGGAGCGCAGTGGCGTGATCTCAGCTCACTGCAACCTCCGCCTCCCAGTTCAAGTGATTCTTGTGCCTCAGCCTCCTGAGTAGCTGGAATTACAGGTGTGTGCCATCATGCCTGGCTAATTTTTGTATTTTTAGTAGAGACGGGGTTTTACCATGTTGGCCAGGCTGGTCTCAAACTCCTGACCTCAAACATCAAGTGATCCACCTGCCTTGGCCTCCCAAAGTTCTCTTAAAGATTTTTAAACTATGAGTTCAAGCAGATGACAGTTCCTTTAATTATTGTGTGATTCTGAACATTTCACAAATGATTCCAGAGTTACTTTATCCCTTTTATTATTAAATTATAACATGTTGTTAATCAAAAATAGTAAATTATTATATCATAGAGATTTAGGAGGAACTGCTTACCAAGAAAAAAACTGAGGTTGCTGGGTGAAGTGGTTCACAGCTATAATCTTAGCACTTTGGGAGGCCAAGGCAGGAGGATTGCTTGAGCCCAAGAGTTTCGGACCTGCTTGGGCAACAGAGTGAGACCCTGTCTCTACAAAAAATATAAAAATTAGCTAGACGTTGTGGCACATGCCTGTAGTCCCAGCTACTTGGGAAGCTGAAGTGGGAGGATCGCTTGAGTACAGGAAGCAGAGGTTGCAGTGAGCCAAGATCGCCAAGATCGCACCATTGCACACCAGCCTGAGTGACAGAGTGAGACTCTGTCTCAAAAAAAAAAAAAAAGAGGAAGTAGTGGGGGAGAAAAAACTGAAGCAGATGGCTATTTTATAAAATAGTCTATTTTTAATTTTCTGAGGACCTTTTGTCCAGTTTATGAACTACCAAGATCAAATTTTTTATTAATAGCTCTTAAGGAATATTAGATGGGAAAGGAAATTAAAATGCTGTCTAAATTGAAATTTGTGATCACTGTATGTTATCTATATCTTCCCTCACCTTTGGGAACCAAGAATCAAGCATTTGATTCCCAATGATTTGGGAACATTTTTTTCTATATGGCTAGCATTACTTTTAATAAAATATAAATAATTTTGCCTTTTCCACATGTTCTGAACTGGCATTTCTTTTTTTTTTTTTTTTTTTTTGAGACCAAGTTTTGCCGTTGTTGCCCAGGCTGGAATGTGGTGGCGCAATCTTGGCTCACGGGAACCTCCGCCTCCTGGGTTCAAGTGATTCTCCTGCCTCAGACTCTTGAGTAGCTGGGATTACAGGCACATGCCACCATGCCTGGCTAATTTTGTATTTTTAGTAGAGACAAGGTTTCACCACGTTGGCCAGGCTGGTCTTGAACTCCTGACCTGAGGTGATCTGCCCGCCTCAGCCTCCCCAAGTGTTGGGATTACAGGCATGAGCCACCACGTCCAGCTTGCATTTCTTTTATTTAGGCCAGTTCTGTTCCAGTGAGGAATAGAAGACTCTTTATGCAGACCAGGTAACTGTTGGCAACAGTCAGTTCATCTTCCCTTTTCTGTTTCCTCCTTCAGTTTATTTCTGGCATCTTGGCAGCCCTGAGTGCCATGATCTCTCTAGAAATTCCGCAAGTCAACATCATGACAAAAATGGATCTGCTGAGTAAAAAAGCAAAAAAGGAAATTGAGAAGTGAGTTCACTGTTCTTCCATTATTATCAGATCTCAGTTGCAGAGATGAACCTTCTGTTTTATTTAGATGGGAAGTTTGGCTGGTTTATAAACCTAGTCTCCTGAATTCATCAGTCTTTCTGTCTTTTAAAGATTTTTAGATCCAGACATGTATTCTTTATTAGAAGATTCTACAAGTGACTTAAGAAGCAAAAAATTCAAGAAACTGACTAAAGCTATATGTGGACTGGTAAGCTTTTAAAGTTTGGATTTTTTGGCCAGGTGCAGTGGCTAATGCCTGTAACCCTAGCACTTTGGCAGGCCAAGGCAGCAAGATTGAGTCCAGGAGTTCAAGACCAGCCTGGGCAACATAGTGACACCCTATCTCTAAAAAAATTTTTTAAATTAGGCCAGGTGCAGTGGCTCACACCTGTAATCCTAGCACTTTGGGAGGCCAAGGCAGGCTGATCATTTGAGATCAGGAGTTCAAGACCAAGCCTGGCCAACATGGTGAAACCCTGTCTCTACTAAAAATACAAAAAAAAATTAGCTGGGCATGGTGGTGTGCGCCTGTAATCCTAGTACTCGGGAGCCTGAGACAGGAGAATCACTTGAACTCGGGAGGCGGAGGTTGCAGTGAGTTGAGATCATGCCACTGCAGTCCAGCCTGGGCGACAGAGTAAGACTTTGTCTCAAAAACAAAAAAAAATTAGGCCAGGCGCGGTGACTTACGCCTGTAATCCCAGCTCTTTGGGAGGCCGAGGTGGGTGGATCACCTGAGGTCAGGAGTTTGAGACCAGCCTGGCCAACATGGTGAAACCCCATCTCTACTAAAAAATACAAAAATTAGCCAGGCGTGGTGGTGCATGCCTATAATCCCAGCTATTCGGGAGGCTGAGGCAGGAGAGTTGCTGGAACCCAGGAGGTGGAGGTTGCAGTGAGCCGAGATCTTGTCATTGCACTCCAGCCCGGTCCAACAACAGCAAGACTCTGTCTCAAAAAAAAAAAAGCCAGGCATGGTGCTGCACGCCTGTAGTCTCAGCTACTGTGGAGGCTGAGGTGGGAGGATCCCTTGAGCCTGGGAGGTCAAGGCTGTAGTGAGCCATGATCAGATCATGTCACTGTGCTCTAGCCTAGGCAGCAGAGAAACCCTATCTCAAAAAAAAACAAAAACAAAAAGGGCGCCAGGTGTGCAGTGGCTCACGCCTATAATCCCAGCACTTTGGGAGGCCAAGGCAGGTGGATCACTTGAGGTCAGGAGTTCAAGACCAGGCTGACCAACATGGTGAAACCCCGTCTGTACTAAAAATACAAAATTAGCCGGGCATGGTAGGGCACACCTGTAATCCCAGCTACTCAGGAGGCTGAGGCAGGAGAATTGCTTGAACCTGGAGGTGGAGGTTGAGCAACAAGAGCGAAACTCTGTCTCCCCAAAAAAAAAAAAAAAGAAAAAAAAAGATGAAGTTTTTTGGGTTTTTTTCCTAAACACCTGGTCAAGTGTTTGCCTGTGTCCAGTCATTTGCCATATAAAAAGCACAGTTCAACCCTATTTTCTGCAAAGTGGAGGGAAAAGGGCTGTGGGCTGGTCAGTCAGCAGTTTAATTTAGAAGTAGTTATTGGTAGTGGCCAATAAATAAACTAACATCTTATTATTTCAAGCCATTTGGAGAGTTCAGGACTGTTTGTTCTCTTGTGAAATTTCCAGTGGTTGTTGAATTCAGATAAATAGCCGTGAAACAGTGTCTAGTTAAAGTAATAAGCTAACAAGTGTTCTAGCAGATCAGAAGTCAGAAAAATCAATGATTTACTCTCTGTGTCTAGCTATCCCTTCTCCTCCTCTTCCTGTAAACACATCAGTGTTTTTATTCAGAAGTACAAATGGTTATAAAACTCAAATATAAGTTGAAAATTATGTATTTTGCACAACTTCAGAATGAACTTTTCTTGAAATCCACAACTTGTAGATTGATGACTACAGCATGGTTCGATTTTTACCTTACGATCAGTCAGATGAAGAAAGCATGAACATTGTATTGCAGCATATTGATTTTGCCATTCAATATGGAGAAGACCTAGAATTTAAAGAACCAAAGGTAATTTCTGGTTTGGGGTGTTTGTTAGCTTTTGATAAAAATATTTGCCAGCACTCACTGGACTCTTGCATAATCCAGGCGACTCCTTAAATTAGTTTTTTGTCTTATTGATGGCAGTTAACTGGGCTTTTCTGGGTGATCTCTGAAATTAACACTGTACTCCACAAGCAGTATCACTTTTACTCTACTTTTGTTGAGGCAGTATGATGAAGCCTGTGTGTACTTAGAGCTTGGGTGTATGTGTAAAGAGGAGGTGAAATTGGGCTGCCCTCACGTATGTCATTGAGAAGACTAATGATAGTATCAGCTAAGCATTTTTTTATTTTTTTATTTTTTATTTTCCTGACCACTAGACTACCAGCGAAGTAAAGCACTATCACAGGAAATTAGCCAAGAATCGTCTTGAATGTAAATTCAAATGAGAAATGCTTCTGGGATAGAAGCACATTAATTTACTACATAACTGGAAAAAAATCTGTCAATCATGCCTTTTCTTACTATTAACAGTTACCTATAAGCAGCACCTGGAGCTGGTGCTGGGTAATTAGTTCCACATAGGGTATTACCTGAAAAATATATAAACACATACTAGTTCTGACTGAGGGGAAATGAATATATTTTCTATTTTGTGTTTCCATTGTGTCAGGAACGTGAAGATGAGTCTTCCTCTATGTTTGACGAATATTTTCAAGAATGCCAGGATGAATGAAGAGTTTACTAAAAGTAACCATCTAAAGAGCTTGTGGCCAAACCAGCAGAACATTCTTCTCTTCAAAGGATGCAATAGTAGAAAGCTACTTATTTTAATGAAAAAAAGTAAAACTTCGTTCTTTATCAGCCTCATGCCTGAATCAAATTTTTAATTATTCTGAAACTGCTGCTGTTTAAAGTGGAATCTTTTAGTATTATAACAGCATCACTTTAGATTTTGTAAGTCAAAATTGAAATGAATGCACATAGATTTATATATAAATTAGCACCTGAGCTAAGGTTAAGGCTGGTCTAAACTTATTTTCACTTTTTGTATTATTTTTGAGATGCAGGAATTACTGTAACAAAATATGTATGTCCGAAGGGAAAAAGCTGCAAGGATATATATAAGACCACTGCTTATCTGTATCTTCCCATTTTCCTATATTGAAAATGTATATTATTTATATAACTTAAAAAGTAAAAATAACTATGTTTTGAGATATGTATGTGTATATATAAAAGAAACAAAGGTTTTTAATGATTCTTGGACCTAGATAACAAGTACACTGCAGTGTCTAATTTGATTCATTTTAATTAAGCAAAATGTGGCCAAGCGTGGTGGCTCACACCTACAATGCCAGCACTTTAGGAGGCCGAGGCAGGTGGATCACCTGAGGTCAGGAGTTCAAGACCAACCTGGCCAACATGGTGAAAGCCTGTCTTTACTAAAAATACAAAAAATTAGCTGGGCGTGGTGGCGCGTGCCTGTAATCGCAGCTACTTGAGAGGCTGAGGTGGGAGAATCCCTTGAATCCAGAAGGTGGAGGTTGCAGTGAGCCAGGATCGCACCATTGCACTCCAGCCTGGGCAACAGAGTGAGACTCCATCTCAAAAAAAAAAAAAATGTGAGGACCTGTAAGTATCGGTGGTAGCTTATGCCTGGGGGCCAGGCTAGAGGGAAGGGTCGGGTGTCTACCCCATGGTCCACTCAGGGAGGAGCATGATGAGTGGGCAACATGGGGATGTGCTGGGCTGCCTGGGGACCTTCCTGTGGCCCTTAGAGGATAGATAGTGTGGAAACAGCCTGATCTCCCAGGGTTGCTAATTCTTAGAAACTTATTGTCACATGGGAGGGGAAGAAAGAAGAGGCAGATTTTCAGTTGCCCTCTTCCTTGGTCCTCCCTGGTTTAGCTTCTAGAGAGTATGGTATGTGCCTGTGGAGAAAAAGTGAAGGACCCGATTCCAGTGCCTTCCCCACTGGACACTGGGGTTTCAAAGATGAATCTGACAATTCCAGTCCTCGAGGATTTCACTGTCTCATAGGCAGGGCTGACAGAAATTCAGTAAATTTACACAAATTTACTGAAGTTCCGTGGATGCCAGACACTGGGGATAGAACAGGGATGCACAGTGCAGGCAGGGCCTTGCTCACGTGGGGCTGCCATGCTGGGCCTGTGAGACTGACCATGAGGAAGGAAACCTCAGAGAGAGGATGGAAAGAAAAGCAGAAAAGAAATGGAGAGTGATTATGGGGCTACTTTGGGCTCTTTGTCAAAAAAGACCTTGCCTAAAAGGTGCTATTTGCCCAGTCAGCTGAATGTGAAATCAGATGTGGGAACATGGGGTCCTATTTCAGGCTGGGAACTGGCAGAAGAAATGGCTCTCAGGCAGCAATGAACTTGACTTTTAACATAAGAAGTTTTCTAGTAATAAATAAGTTAAAACTCTGGGCTTTCAGTATGCTCCAAGCATGTAAGTTCTAAGCATTTTACATGTAATTCATTTCATCCTCACAAAACTATGAGGTAAATACTGTTACTGCCATTTTCAGGTGAGGAACTGAAGCACAGGCCAGTTAACTTGCTCAAAATTACAGAGCTAGTATGTATTGGAGCTGCGATTCAAACCTGGAGTCCAGTGCCCTTCAGTTTCTCCATTTTTAGATGCAGTGCATTGGGTTCATTCATTCACTCAAATATTGATGTTTCCTACATACCGTCACTGTTACGGGCGCAGGTGACAAAACGGACGAAGTGCTGCCTTTTTGGCATTCACAAGCACTAAGAGTAAACTAAATACAAGAATCGTAAGAACTAAGGGAAAAAGCGGGAGAGAAGGATAAGGCATGGGGCTGGAGTTGGGTGAACTGAAAATAGAATGAACGGAGAATGCTTCACAGGAAAGGTGATTTTTTTTTTTTTTTTTTTTTTTTTTTTTTGAGAGAGTCACACTGTCATCCCGGCTGGAGTGCAGCGGCGCGATCTTGGCTCACTGCAACCTCTGCCTCCTGGGTTCAAGCGATTCTCCGGCCTCAGCCTCCCGAGTAGCTGGGATGCTACCACGACCAGCTAATTTTTGTATTTTTAGTAGAGACGGGGTTTCACCATCCAGGCTGGTCTCGAACTCCTGACCTCAGGTGATCCACCCGCCTCGACCTCCCAAAGTGCTGGGATTACAGGCGTGAGCCACTATGCCCGGCCCTGAAAAGGTGACATTTGAAAAAAATACAAAAGAGGTGATTGATCTCAGATTCTGGAACCTCAAGACCCATCTCCATTCTGGGCGCTGCCTCACGCTGCACCACTCAAGGCCCCTGCCTAGTGCTCTGGCGCCTCCTTCAGATCCGCGCGGCCGCTGCAACCAGAAGCGGAACTGCAAGGCCGGAAGCTCCACGTCCGCACCCGCCCCTTCCGTTTCGCTTCCGCCTACCTCGCCCAGGCTGCCAGACCGGAAGCGCTCCGCTGTACCTGGATCCTGCTCCTCTGGGTTGAAACCCGGGCGCCGCCAAGATGCCGGTGAGGGTTCGATCCACGGTGTGGGGAGACAGCGGGGATTGCGAAGAGCAGAGAGAAACCGTGTGTGTGCCGAGAGAAGCGGGCGGCGGAAGGCAGAGAGGAAGCTGGGGCCCGAGAAGGAGGGAGGCGAGGGGAGGGGACCGGTTGCTGAAGGATTGGGGCGGCCCGGGGGTGCCAGTCGTGGGAGGCGGGGGCGCGGCAGGAGTGGGCCAAGGGTCCAGGGTGTGTGAGGAGGCCCTTTTCTCTCTCCGTCTACTCCTTCCGACTCCGGCAGGGTTCCCAAAGCCTCACTAGAGAGCGAAGCCAAGGGCTGCGCTTTTTATTTTTCATATTTCAAGTCCAGGGGTCTAGCTTCTCCTTTTTCTGTCAGGCCCACTTCCTCCTCCGCCCCGGGGTCAGGCTCCCTCTGCTGTTTGTCATTTGTCAGAACCCACTTCCCGGCAGCGGCGGCCATCCCGGAGCCAGCTGGGTTTAGGGCCCTCACAGACTCGTTCGGCGCCTGACTTCCAAAGATTTCCTTTTTCGTGTGCCATCAGAGTGGGAGTAAAAAATTATGACGGCCTGGTTGTACTTAATTTCTGACAGCCAGTTTGTGGGGTAGATTTATCACCGTCATGGTCTCCATTTTGCAGATTCGGGAAAAGGTGGTTCAGTTATTATGTGATTGTTCACACTTTTTTTGTTGTTTGTTTTTTGAGAGAGTCTCGTTCTGTCGCCCAGGCTGGAGTGCAGTGAGGCGATCTCGGCTCACTACAACTTCCACCACCCTGGTTCAAGCAATTCTCGTGCCTCAGCCTCCCGGGTAGCTGAGATTACAGGCGCGCGCCACCACGCCCAGCTAATTTTTTGCATTTTAGTAGAGACGGGGTTTCACCATGTTGGCCAGGCTGGTCTGGAACTCCAGACCTCAGGTGATCCGCCCCCTCGGTCTCCCAAAGTGCTGGGATTATAAGCGTGAGCCATCGCGCCCAGCCTGCTCACACATTATTTTTAACAAACGTTAACGAGCACCTGCTGCCTGCCAGGCTGTATTTACAGCAGCAAATAAGTTCAACAAATCCCTAATCTTAAAGAATGTACATTCAAATCGGGAGTCGAGACAATAAAAGTGTAAACATAATAAAGGAGATACATACGGTAGTGTCAGGTAGTGACAAATGCTATAAAGAAGCTAGATGGGTGGTCAGGCGCAGTGGCTCACGCCTGTAATCCCAGCACTTTGGGAGGCCTAGGTGGGCGGATCACGAGGTCAGGAGTTCAAGACCAGCCTGGCCAACATGGTGAAACCCCATCTCTACTAAAAATACAAAAATTAGCCAGGCGTGGTGGTGCGTGCCTGTAATCCCAGCTACTTGGGAGGCTGAGGCAGGAGAATCGCTTGAACCCAGGAGGCGGAGGTTGCAGTGAGCCGAGACCGTGCCACTGCACTCGTCTAGTGACAGAGTGAGACTCTGTACCACCACCCCCCCCCCCCCCGGAAAAAAAGAAGCTAGATGGGTAACAAGACAGTTGGTGAGAGGGAAGGCGGAGGCTGCTTTAGATAAAGCATACCTGTGATGAAAAGGAGCAAGCCATAGTTGCAAATACATTTTTTTTTTTTTTGAGACAGGGTGTGACCCTGTCTCTCAGGCTGCAGTTCAGTGACACAAACTCGGTTCAGGTGATCCTCCCACCTCAGCCTCCTGAGCAGCTGGGACTACAGGTGTACGCCACCATGCCCAGCTAAGTTTTTGTGTTTTTAGTAGAGACAGAGTCTCACCATGTTGTCCAGGCTGATCTCAAACTTCTGGGCTCAAGCAGTCCTCCTGCCTCACCCTCCCTAAGTGTTGGGATTACAGACATGAGCCACCTCGCTCAGCCTCACAAATGCATATTTTATGAATCCCATAATTACCATTTGACTCCTGAGCTCTGGGGTACACACTTTATAAATTATCCCATCTAATCCTCATAACGACCCTATGAAGTAGGTACCATGATTCCTGTTTTACAGAAGAGGAAACGGAGCCTCAGAGAAGTTAATTTGGACAAGGTTGCCTAGTAATGGTAAAACCAGGTTTTAAGCCAGGACTCTAGGCTGGGTGCAGTGGCTTATGCCTGTAATCCCAACACTTTAGGAGGCCAAGATGGGAGGATCACTTGAGCCCAGGAGTTTGAGACCAACCTGGGCAACATAATGAGACCCTGCCTCTACAAAAATAAAAATAAATTAGCTGGATGTGGTAGTGCATGTCCTCCCAGCCTCTCAAGAGGCTGAGGTGGGAGGATCACCTGGAGCCAGGAGTTTGAGGCTGCAGTGAGCTGTGATCCTGCCACTGTACTCCAGCCTAGGAAACTCTGTCTCCAAAAAAAAAAAAAAAAAAAAAAAGGACTCTAAATCCCTGTACTGGTTCCAATCGCACATAGAGCACCCTGGATTCACTCTGTTGGGTTTTGTTTGTTTGTTTTTTTGGGGGGAGGGGTTTGTTTGTTTGTTTGTTTTTGAGACAGAGTCTTGCTGTGTCGCCAGGCTGGAGTGCAGTGGTGCCATCTCGGCTCACTGCAACCTCTGCCTCCTGGGTTCAAGCGATTCTCATGCCTCAGCCTCCCAAGTAGCTGGGAATACAGGCATGCACTACCACACCCAGCTAATTTTGATATTTTTAGTAGAGATGGGGTTTCACCATGTTGGTCAGGGTGGTCTCGATCTTCTGGCCTTGTGATCTGTCCGCCTCAGCCTCCCAAAGTGTTTGGATTACAGGCGTGAGCCACCCCGCCCATCCCATCCTGTGATTATTTTCTGTCTGTCTTCTCTACTCTTCAAGGACCAGAATCGTACTACTTTGTATATTACTATATCACAGTGTCTTGCACATAGAAGGTGCTTAGCAATCATTTGATGAATGAATGAATATATGAATGGGACCCATGTTGACTTATAAAAAGCCAGACATCTTGTAAAAAGCAGAACTAAGAATCAGCATACAAAATGCTCTCATAAATGTGATTTTTTTTATCCCTTCCTTTAACACACACCTACCCACTGAAGGGAATATATATCTTCTCATTTTACAAATTTGGAAACAAGCTAAGAGAAGAAGAATGATGTCTTGGTCAAAAGCATAACGCCATGAAGTGGCAGAGCTGAAAAGATAGTGCTTGGGTCTTGGTTTAGCTGGGGGCTGGGTACCCTGATTTATATGATGTTTGTCTTTCTGTAGTGGAAATACTTTGGCCAGATACCAATGTGATGTCACCGAACATAGAATTGGAAGAGATGCACAGCAGCACCCCATTATTTAGTATTTCGTAATAATAACCTTAAGAACATAGACAATAGTAAAATGTAATTTTTAAAAATTAGGTTATTGCCGGGTGCAGTGGCTCACGCCTGTAATCCCAGCACTTTGGGAGGCCGGGGCGGGTGGATCATGGGGTCAGGAGTTCGAGACCAGCCTGACCAACATGGTGAAACCCTGTCTCTACTAAAAATACAAAAATTAGCTGGGCGTGGTGGCACGCACCTGTAATCCCAGCTACTTGGGAGGCTGGGGCAGGAGAATCGCTTGAACCCAGGAGGCGGAGGTTGCAGTGAGCAGAGATCGCGCCACCGCACTCCATCCTGGGCGACAGGGCAAGACTCCGTCTCAAAAAAAAAAAAAAATTAGGAAGTAGGCCAAGTGCAGTGCAGTGGCTCACATCTGTAATCCCAGCACTTTGGGAGGGCAAGGCGGGCAGATCACCTGAGGTCGGGAGTTCGAGACCAGCCTGGCGAAAATGGAGAAACATCGTCTCTACCAAAAATACAAAATTAGCTGGGCGTGGTGGCTTATCCCTATAATCCCAGCTACTCAGGAGGCTGAGGCAGGAGAATCACTTGAACCCGGGAGGCGGAGGTTGCAGTGGGCCAAGGTCATGTCATTGCACTCCAGCCTGGGCAACAAGAGCCAAACTCTGTCTCAAAAAAAAAAAAAAAAATTAGGAAGTAGCCAGGTGTGGTGGCTCACACCTGTAGTCCCAGCCCTTTGGGAGGCTGAGGCAGGAGGAACACTTGAGCTTAGGAGTTTGAGATCATCTTAGGCAACATGGTGAGACTCCTTCTCAAAAAAAAAAAAAGAAGTGATGAATACTTAAGCATCATTGTTTTTAACATTATTTACTTTTTTTTTTTTTTTGAGACAGTCTTGCTCTGTTGCCCAGGCTGGAGTGCAGTGGCACGATCTCGGCTCACTGCAGCCTTCGCCTCCTGGGTTCAAGTGATTCTCCAGCTTAGCCTCCCACATGGCTGGGACTACAGGCGCACGCCGCCACGCCTGGCTAATTTTTTATATTTTAGTAGAGATGGGGTTTCACTGTGTTGCCCAGGCTGGTTGCAAACTCCTGAGCTCAGGCAATCTGCCTGCCTCAGCCTCCCAAAGTGCTGGGATTACAGGCATGAGCCACCACGTCCAGCCAACATCATTTACTTAATTGTAAGTTTATATAATTTGATTTTTGAGAAGAGCTGTGTTTAACAACCAGCTTGAAAAATGCCTCAAAATTTAACAATTGGTTTTCTTGAGCCAGAAAGAACCAGCCCTCGCACCTCAATGCTGCTATCCCTTCTCCCTCCCCTAATTAATCTTGGGTGGTTTACTCTTTTTTTCCTTTAAGGGAAGGTTGTTTGCCACAGTGACATTTGCTCTTTTTCTGCTTCTGTGTTCTTCCTGGGCTTGCCATTACAGGCTTACCACTCTTCTCTCATGGATCCTGATACCAAACTCATCGGAAACATGGCACTGTTGCCTATCAGAAGTCAATTCAAAGGACCTGCCCCCAGAGAGAGTAAGTCTAAACCCATTATTTTCAAATTTTGGTACGAAATGCCTAACAATCTTCTGAAATGATCAAATCAGAAAAATTCTTAGCTCAGTCTTCTCTCTCAAATTGCCCTTGTACTTTGCTTGGTAGATACTGTGGTCTAGACCTTTCAAGATAGTGGTTATATGTTGCATTTAATAGGAAATTGTATTATTTCTTCTGACTTCTCCAGGAAACTCTTTTGAGAAAATGGAGGAAATGTGCTTAATTCTGGACACTGTTTATCAGTTCTTTCAAACAAATCTAATGCTGTTACGTCTAGAATGCCACATGCCCATCCTTTCTGTCATCAACCTGGAAAAGAACAACAACAAATATTTTAACCTCTTCCTCGTCTAAATCTACTTCCTTTATTCATTCTTCAAGATCTTCATTTTTAGCAATACCTCAATCTTAAATCTGAAGTGTACTATGTAACATTACTTACGTCTATTCCCGCTTTTCTGAATTTTATTTCAGAAAGCCGCAATATTTTTCAGACACTGTCTGAGACTCTTCTGATGCTTTCTGAGATGTTCTCCCAACAGTATAATTTGTATTATGTTAGACATGGTTTCCCTGTACCCTGCAAGGGTCTGAACTGAATTCCATTCATGGTTTCCAAGACCATTATTATAATTACCAATTTGGTACTTATCCAGTCCCCATTTCTCTGCCAGACTGTTTGACTTGACCTTTTTTAAACTTAATTTTGTTTTCAACACCATTTGAAAGCTCAGTAAACTTAATGCATATGGTGAGTCACCACAGTCTCTACTTGATTCTGAGGAAAAGGAACAAGGAAGAAGACAGCCTGGGAAAGAAGAAAAATAACATAAAAGAAAATCACAAGGCTGGGTGCGGTGGCTCACACTTGTAATCCCAGCACTTTGGAAGGCCAAGGCAAGTGGATCACTTAAGGTCAGGAGTTCGAGACCAGCCTGGCAAACATGGCGAAACCCCAACTCTACTAAAAATACAAAAATTAGCTAGGCATGGTGGTGGGCACCTGTGATCCCAGCTACTCAGGAGGCTGAGACAGGAGAATCGCTTGAACACAGAGGGTGGAGGTTGCAGTGAGCCAAGATTGCACCACTGCACTCCAGCCTGGGTGACAGAGTGAGACTTCATCTCAAAAAAAAAAAAAAATTTTTTTTCACTGCAAAGGCCAGGCGTGATGGCTCACACCTATAATCCCAGCACTTTGAGAGGTCGAGGTGGGTGGATCACCTGAGTTCAGGAGTTCAAGACCAGCGTAACCAACATGGAGAAACCCCATCTCAACTAAAAATACAAACAATCAGCCGGGCATGGTGGCGCATGCCTGTAATCCCAACTACTTGGGAGACTGAGGCAGGAGAATTGCTTGAACCTGGGAGGTGGAGGTTGCAGTGTGCCGAGATCATGTCATTGCACTCCAGCCTAGGCAACGAGCAAAACTCTGTTTCAAAAGAAAAAAAAAAAAAACCTGAATTGGAATGGAGGCCTGTGCTGTGAGCTAAATAACAGCATTAATCACACTAATTCATTTATATTCAACAAATATCTGTAGAATGCCTTTTATGTGCCAAGTATTCTTCTAATTTCAGAATCCTTTGGCCTTTGCCCCCTCCTGTCATTGCATTTAGAAGAACTAGCTGGTTTTTGGAAACAATATTGAGTCCTCCAAGACAGTTTTCTTTCACAGATAAGAAAACAGATTGCAGCCAGGCATAGTGGCTCACGCCTGTAATCCCAGCACTTTGGGAGGCTGAGGCGGGCAGATTGCCTCAGGTCAGGAGTTTGAGACCAGCCTGGCCAACATGGTGAAACTCTGTCTCTACCAAAAATACCAAAATTAGCTAGCTGTGGTGGCAGGCACCTGTAGTCCCAGCTACATGGGAGGCTGAGACAGGAGAATCACTTGAACTCAGGAGGCGGAGGTTGCACTGGGCCTAGATTGTGCCATGGCACTCCAGCCTGGGCGACAAAGTGAGACTTGATCTCGAAAAAATAAATAAATAAAAAATAGGGCGTGGCGCGGTGGCTCACGCCTGTAATCCCAGTACTTTAGCACTTTGGGAGGCCAAGACGGGTGGATCACGAGGTCAGGAGATCGAGACCATCCTGGCTAACACGGTGAAACCCCATCTCTACTAAAAATACAAAAAATTAGCCAAGCGTGGTGGCGGGCTCCTGTAGTCCCAGGTACTCGGGAGGCTGAGGCAGGAGAATGGCGTGAACCCAGGAGGCAGAGCTTGCAGTGAGCCAAGATTGCACCACTGCACTCCAGCCTGGGCAACAGAGCGAGACTCCATCTCAAAAAAAAAAAAAGTAAATTGCAAGGAACACAAGTCTAGAGTTAGAGTTCTGTTGAAATTCTTCCACAGGGCAATGAGCTGGGATGAAGACAACTGAATTGCAGAGTATGAAAGCTTCAAGATTACTTTGCATTTCTGCTGTGCGAGAACGTTAACAGTCATAGACAAGAAGTATAAGTAACTGTCTCAGCACTGCTGAAACCAACTGCCAGATATCAAGACCCTGGGATTTTGACCTTTTTAAAATAAGAAGAAGAAAAACAAAAAATTGCCAAACAAATTGTGTCATGAGATCTGTCTTTGTCAAGACAGTATTTCTGGCTTTTGTCCGTCTAGAGCTACCTACAACAGCTTGTACAAGTATATTTTAAGTCATAGTTTTCATAAAAAGAAAGATGTGTATCTGAACCTCAACATGTTCTAAATAATTGAGTTTTTTTCTGAAACTATAATATGTAAATTCAAATAAAATTATATTGAATACTTTTTATTTTATTTAATTATATATATTTTTTATTATTACTTTTTTGAGATGGAGTCTCGCTCTGTCACCCAGGCTTGAGTTTGGTGGAATGATCTCAGCTCACTGCAACCTCTGCCTCCTGGGTTCAAGCAATTCTCCTGCCTCAGCCCCCTGAGTAGCTGGGATTACAGGCACGTACCACCATGCCCGGCTAGTTTTTGTATTTTTAGTAGAGACAGGGTTTCTCCATGTTGGCCAGGCTGGTCTCGAACTCCTGACCTCAGGCAATCCATCCGCCTCAGCCTCCCAAAGTGCTGGGACTACAGGCGTGAGCCACTGCGCCCGACTGAATACTTTTTATTTTTAGGAAGCAGTTAAAGTTAGTCTATGTCTCAGTGTTTTTTTATAAATGCATTGAGAGACGTCTTGAATAATGTTCACCAAATGCTAATGGTAGTTATTTTTGGGGAAATGGGAATTAAGGTGACAATTAAAAATTTTTTTTTTGCCTGGTGCTGTGGCTTATGCCTGTAATCCTAGCTACTCAGGAGGCAGGAGGATCACTTGAGGCCAGGAGTTTGAGACCAGCCTAGGCAACATAGTGAGACTGCATCTCTAAAAAAAACTTTTTTTTTTTTTTTGGAGACAGAGTTTTGATCTCGTTGCCCAGGCTGGAGTGCAATGGTGCAATCTTGGCTCACTGCATCCTCCACCCGCGAGTTCAAGCGATTCTCCTGCCTTAGCCTCCCGAATAGCTGGGATTACAGGTGCCTGCCACCATGCTTGGCTAATTTTTTGTATTTTTAGTAGAGGCGCAGTTTCACCATGTTGGCCAGGCTGCTCTCAAACTCCTGACCTCAGGTGATCCACCCGTCTCGGCCTCCCAAAGTGTTGGGATTACAGGCGTGAGTCACTGTGCCCAGCCATCTTTAAAAACTTTTCTTTAAAAATTTTATTTAATTTTTAAAGAAAAAAATTAGCCAGGCCTCATGGTGCATGCCTGTAGTCCCGGCTACCTGGGAAGCTGAAGCAGGAGGATCACTTGCGCTCAGGAATTCAAGTCTGTGGTGAGTTATAATTGTACCACTGCACTCCAGCCCGGGTAACAGAGCAAGACCTCTCTCTAAAAAATAAAACTGTTTTGATTGAATTTCATTTTCTAATGAGCATGTATAAGTTTTACGAAAACAATAAAGCTGTAAAAATAAACCATGTACTACTTTTCTATAAATATTTTCTGAAAATCCGGGGGTGGTGGCTCACTCCTGTAATCCCAGCACTTTGGGAGGCTGAGGCAGGCAGATCACGAGGTCAGGAGTTCGAGACCAGCCTGACCAACAAGGTGAAACCCCATTTCTACTAAAAATACAAAAATTAGCCAGGCCTGGTGGTACATGCGTATAATCCCAGCTACTTGGGAGGCTGAGGCAGGAGAATCGCTTGAACCCGGGAGGCAGAGTGAGCCGAGATCATGCCATTTCACTCCAGTCTGGGCGACGGAGCAAGACTCCGTCTCAAAAAAAAAAAATTTGGCCGGGCACGGTGGCTTATGCCTGTGATCCCAGCACGTTGGGAGGCCGAGATGGGCGGATCACGAGGTCAGGAGATCAAGACCATCCTGGCTAACACGGTGAAACCCCGTCTTTACTAAAAATACAAAAAATATAGCTGAGCATGGTGGCAGGTGCCTATAGCCCCAGCTACTTGGGAGGCTGAGGCAGGAGAATGCCGTGAACCCGGGAGGCGGAGCTTGCAGTGAGCCAAGATCGCGCCACTGCACTCCAGCCTGGGCGACAGAGTGAAACTCTGTCTCAAAAAAAAAAACAAAGGCTGGGCACGGTGGCTCATGCCTGTAATCCCAGCACTTTGGGAGGCCGAGATGGGCGGATCACGCGGTCAGGAGATCAAGACCATCCTGGCTAACATGGTGAAACCCCATCTCTACTAAAAATACAAAAAATTAGCGGGGTGTGGTGGCAGGTGCCTGTAGCCCCAGCTACTCAGGAGGCTGAGGCAGGAGAATGGCGTGAACCCGGGAGGCAGAGCTTGCAGTGAGCCAAGATCACGCCACTGCACTCCAGCCTGGGTGACAGAGCGAGACTCTGTCTCAAAAAAAAAACAAATAAATATTTTCTAAAAACTTTGTATTTCAATAGGATCATTTTATTTTATTCAACTCCACAACTGTTGACAGTTGTATGTGTTTTCCCTTTATGGCTTTGATAGTTGTTATGTTTTGTATTTGGCTAATGTTCTCTGTGCTCCTTCCCTTGTGTCCTGCTTAGCAAAAGATACAGATATTGTGGATGAAGCCATCTATTACTTCAAGGCCAATGTCTTCTTCAAAAACTATGAAATTAAGGTAAATTACGGAGCTTTTAATATTTAACTTAGTTTTCTCATAGGGATAATACCAACCTTGCTATCCAGATTGCTGTGAGGAGAAAATAAAATGAAATCAGCATGTAATTTTTAAATTCGAGAGCAGTGCTTAATGTTAGCTTTTGTATAAATATTAGTTTCTTTTTTTTTCCTCCAAATTCTATACCAGGGGTTGGCAAACTCTAACCTGAGGGCCACATTTGGCCCACTGCCCCTTTTTATGAATAAACCTTTATTGGAACACAGCCACAACCATTTGTTTCTATATTATCTATAGTTACTTTCACACCAAAACAGCAGAATTGAGTAGTTGTGACAAAGACTGTATGGCCCACAAAACCTAAAAATACTGCCTGCCTTTTACAGAGAAAGTTTGCCAACCCCTTGCTAGAAGTATCTTTATTTATTCAACATTAGTTAAGCAGCACCTACTATGTGCCAGCCTTTTGTTTTGTTTTGAGACAGGGTCTTGCTCCGTCGCCCAGGCTAGAGTGCAGTGGCACAATCACAGCTCACTATACCGTCAACCTCCTGGGCTCAGACAGTCCTCCTGCCTCAGCCTCCCAGGTAGCTGGAACTACAGGCATGCACC
Organism: Homo sapiens; assembly: GCF_000001405.40. Taxonomy (NCBI): domain Eukaryota; kingdom Metazoa; phylum Chordata; class Mammalia; order Primates; family Hominidae; genus Homo; species Homo sapiens. The sequence goes on along the minus strand of NC_000012.12, from coordinate 110,439,699 downwards.
ACCACACCTGGCTAATTTTTTGTATTTTTAGTAGAGACGGGGTTTCACAATGTTAGGCAGGATGGTGTCTCGATCTCCTGACCTCATGATCCGCTCACCTCAGCCTCTCAGTGTGCTGGGATTACAGGCGTGAGCCACCGCTCCCGGCCCTAAAATGGAATTTCAGCCCCTCCTTGCCAAACTCTGAACTTCTGGAATCAAACAGGTTGTGAATTATTTATTTGTAGACTCTTGGTGTACAAATTGTAGTCTAAACATTCTGTGATGGTAATAGAATGTTTTCTATATCTCATGTGTGGGTTAAGTTTGTAACAGTTATAAATGTTACAATTCTCTGGGCACATTGCTTGAGTTCAGGAGTTCGAGACCAGCCTGGGCAACATGGCGAACCCCCGTCTCTACAAAAAATAGAAAAATTAGTGCATGGTGGCTCACGCCTGTAATCCCAACACTTGGGAGGCTGAGGCGGGTGGATCACATGATGCCAGGAGTTTGAGACCAGCCTGGCCAACAAAGCGAAACCCCATCTCTACCAAAAATACAAAAATTAGCCAGGTGTAGTAGTGCATGCCTGTAATCCCAGCTACTCGGGAGGCTGAAGCACAAGAATTGCTTGAACCCAGGAGGTGATGGTTGCAGTGAGCCGAGATCACACCACTGCACCCAGCCTGGGCGACAGAGCAAGACTGTCTCAAAAAAAAAACAAAAAACTCTGCCACATTTCATTTGTTCCCAGATACTATATTGTCTTAAAAATAGGGAAATGTGGCTGGGCGCAGTGCCTCTGCCCGTAATTTGGGAGGCCAAGGCGGGCGGATCACCTGAGGTCGGGAGCTTGAGACCAGCCTGACCAACATGGGGAAACCCCGTCTCTACTAAAAATACAAAATTAACTGGGCGTGGTGGTGCGTGCCTGTAATCCCAGCTACTTGGGAGGCTGAGGCAGGAGAATCACTTGAACCCAGGAGGCAGAGGTTGCGGTGAGCCAATATCACGCCATTGCACTCCAGCCTGGGCAGCAAAAGTGAAACACTCAAAAAAAAAAAAATATATAGGAAAATGGTGTGGTTTGGGGGTAATTTTTTTGTTGTTTTTTTGTTTTGAGACAGAGTCCCGCTCTGTCACCAGGCTGGAGTGCAATGGCGTGATCTCGGCTCAGTGCAACCCTCGACTCCCGGGTTCAAGTGGTTCTCCTGCCTCAGCCTCCCAAGTAGCTGGGATTACAGGCACGCGCCACCACGCCAAGCTAATTTTTGTATTTTTTGGTAGGGACAGGGTTTCACCACGTTGGCCAGGATGGTCTCGATCTCCTGAGCTCGTGATACACCCACCTTGGACTTCCAAAGTGTTGGGATTACAGGTGTGGGCCACCGCACCCGGCCTTTTTTTTTTTTTTTTTAATTCGAGACAGAGTCTTGCTCTGTTGCCCAGGCTGCAGTGCAGTGGTACAGTCTTGACTCATTACAACCTCTGCCTCCTGGCTTCAAGCGATTCTGTGGCCTTAGCCTCCCTAGCAGCTGGGATTACAGGCGCACGCCACCATGACTGGCTAATTTTTGTATTTTTAGTAGAGACGGTGTTTCGCCATGTTGCCCAGGCTGGTCTCAAACTCCTGGGCTCAAGCAATCCACCCACCTCAACCTCCCAAAGTGCTGGGATTACAGGCATAAGCCACTGCACCTGGCCTAAATTTGTGTAAAATTTGACCCAAAGTCCATACCACATTTGATCAACATTCATTTGTCTTCTCCACATTTTCTTTTTGGTTAGGTCAAGACATTGAGATTATGGAGTTCTTTGGGAGCAAGTCAAATGTGAAATAGTTGCTTCCTCCTTTAGAGTAATGACTATTTCTGTTCTCGGCAGAGACCCTGAAGGGAAGGGTTTTTAAAAATTAGCCAACCATATGGAGCAGTTCAGGCTTTCCAGGCAGCTTTGTTACTTCTTCCTATACAGTGAGGGGCTGTTGACACAGATCCTTGGGAACCCTGGGGCAAGGGGAGCCGAGAAAAACAAGAGAGAGCAGCCACTCAGCCGAGCGTGGTGGCTCATGCCTGTAATCCCAGCACTTTGGGAGGCTGAGGTGGACAGATCACTTGAGGTCAGGAGTTCGAGACCAACCTGGCCAACATGGTGAAACCCCGTCTCTACTAAAAATAGAAAAATTAGCCAGGCGTGGTGGCGGGCACCTGTAATCCCAGCTACTCGGGAGGCTGAGGCAGGAGAATTGCTTGAACCTGGGAGGTGGAGGTTGCAGTGAGCTGAGATTGTGCCACTGCACTCCAGCCTGGGCAACAGAGCAAGACTCCGTCTCAAAAAAAAAAAGCAGCTGCACATCTCAGAGTGGGGCTTGTGCCTTCCTCCCAGGGGCAGACGGAAAAGGAGACTGAGGAGACTGTGCATTTGGAGAATGGGAGTTTTGATGTGATAGTGGCTGTCCTACCACTGCATTCAGCAGATAATCAGAAGACAAAGATGGAATGCATACATTGCACATCATTGTTATGTTTTGATAACTGTTTTTAAGTCTTCTTTTTCTCCCTGTAGAATGAAGCTGATAGGACCTTGATATATATAACTCTCTACATTTCTGAATGTCTGAAGAAACTGCAAAAGGTAATTAAACTTGGATGATTGTATATCAGGAAAACAAATTGCTGAGAGGCATTTACCCTCCCAGTCATCTGGGATTTGTTGAGACTTTAAAGACAAGTAGAAAATATTTCCTCTGACTTACAGCATGGACTTAAGAGAAAAATTTGAATTTAGTTACCTGAACTTGTAGTATAATTGACTGACACAAAGATAAAAGTAGTGGTGTTTTAAGGCTTTGAATATATTTTCTCAAGACAGAAATCTTGACAGAGGAATTCCTTTTAAGCCCTTGACTCAAGGGTTCTTAACCTGGGGTCCAAGGATAGAATTCTTCTTTTCCCTGTAAAATATGTGTGTGTGTGTGTGTGTGTGTGTGTGTGTGTGTGTGTGTGTATATATATATATATATTTTTTTTTCCAGTGCAATTCCAAAAGCCAAGGTGAGAAAGAAATGTATACGCTGGGAATCACTAATTTTCCCATTCCTGGAGAGCCTGGTTTTCCACTTAACGCAATTTATGCCAAACCTGCAAACAAACAGGAAGATGGTAAGAACAGGTCTCTATCCTCACTCTGTGACACAAGAAGATTTTCTCCATTTGACTTCCTACCACCCCTCTTTTTCTTGCCTTGATTCATGTACAGATTGAGAGTGAAATCATAGGAAGTACATTATCTTATTAGTCACTCTCACAAACGATTCTTGGCAACAAGGATGACATGCAGAAAATCTTTTGAACAAAAACAAATATAGTTATAAAACTATCTGGACTGTCATTTCTATTTTGTATCCTGTTCAAATGTATAAAAATGTATTACCACAGTGAGCATCCAGAGCTGCAACCAGTACATTTGGGATGTATTTGCAAATACAGTTTTTTTTAAATTGTTCTGTTTTAGAAGTGATGAGAGCCTATTTACAACAGCTAAGGCAAGAGACTGGACTGAGACTTTGTGAGAAAGTTTTCGACCCTCAGAATGATAAACCCAGCAAGGTAAGACCCTCTTCTTGCCTGCTTAATTGGTAAATCACCTTTTATCCCATAGCCACCATTGAACACACTAAGGTCTTCCATTGCAAGAATATTTTTAATTTCTGCATTGCAATGTTGCTTAACTTCCAGTATATGTCTAGTATGTAATATGAGTTCACTGAATCACACTAAATAATGAATTGCAGGCCGGGCGCAGTGGCTCACGCCTGTAATCCCACCACTTTGGGAGGCCGAGGCGAGTGGATCACTTGCGGTCAGGAGTTCGAGACCAGCCTGGCCAACATGGTGAAACCCCCATCTCTACTGAAAATACAAAAAATTAGCCAGGCATGATGGTGTGCACCTGTCATCTCAGCTACTCAGGAGGCTGAGACAAGAGAGTCGCTTGAACCCAGGAAGTGGAGGTTGCAGTGAGCCAAGATCATGCCATTACACTCCAGCCTGAATGACAGAGTGAGACTTTGTCTAAAAAGGGTTTATGGCCAGGCGCGGTGGCTCACGCCTCTAATCCCAGCACTTTGGGAGGCCAAAGCAGGCGGATCATGAGGTCAGGAGATTGAGACCATCCTGGCTAACATGGTGAAACCCCGTCTCTACTAAAAAATACAAAAAATTAGCCAGGCGTGGTGGCAGGCGCCTGTAGTCCCAGCTACTGGGGAGGCTAAGGCAGGAGAATGGCATGAACCCAGGAGGCGGAGCTTGCAGTGAGCCAAGATCACACCACTGCACTCCAGCACTCCAGCCTGGGCGACAGAGCGAGACTCCGTCTCAAAAAAAAAAAAAAAAAGTTTATAAGAGATTCCAGACTAATGTGAAATTTTATTATTAAATAAATGCAAATTCTATTGTAATTTGACCCCGCTGTTCATTCTGTGTTGTTCTCTCTTGTTAGTGGTGGACTTGCTTTGTGAAGAGACAGTTCATGAACAAGAGTCTTTCAGGACCTGGACAGTGAAGGGAGCCCGGGCAGCCACCGTCTCCAGAGCCCTGGGCAGCATTTTCCAGCAAGATGTACACAATCTTTTGCCTTTATTTCGTAAAGTTTTATACAGAAGAGAGAAGAGCATGTCTTTACTTGAAAAACTCTTGATCAAGAATTTGGGTGGGAGAAAAGAAAGTGGGTTATCAAGGGTGATTTGAAATTTTCTGCAGCATTAAAGCTGGCGCTTAATAAGAATAAGTAATAATAAAGAAATTTCTAACATTCCATGTCAGAAAAACTTTATTGCCAGTCTTTGACATTCACTTACAATTTGTTTTGAGATAAAATTCACATTCCATAATGCCCTTTTAAAGTGTACAATTCACTTTTTTTAGTATATACATGAAGTTTTACAACCATCCCCAGTAAATCCAGAGCATTTTCATCACCCCGGTGTAGTGAACCTGCACTCTTTAGCAGCCACCCCACCCCACATTCCTCCCCAAGCCCCCTGTCCCTCCCACCCCTCCTCCCAGTATTAATCTACTTTCTGTCTCTATGGATTTGCTTATTCTGGATAATTCATGTAAATTGAATTTTTTATACAACATGTGGCCTTTTATGTCTAGCTTCTTTGACTTAATGTTTTCTAATTCATCCATGTTAGAGCATATATCAGTGCTTTCTTTTCTCTTTTTCTTTTTTTTCTCTCTGTGTATATGTATGAAATAAAATATACTAATATGGCCAGGCGCAGTGGATCACGCCTGTAATCCCAGCACTTTGGGAGGCCCAGGCGGGCAGATCACCTGAGGTCGGGAGTTTGAGACTAGCCTGACTAACACGGAGAAACCTGGTCTCTACTAAAAATACAAAAACCAGCCGGGCCGGGTGCGATGGCTCACGCCTGTAATCCCAGCAATTTGGGAGGCCCAGGCAGGCGGCTCACCTGAGGTCAGGAGTTTGAGACCAGCCTGACCAATATGATGAAACAATGTCTCTACTAAAAATACAAAAATTAGCCGGGCATGGTGGCACGCGCCCGTAATCCCAGCTATTCGGGAGGCTGACACAGAAGAATCGCTTGAACCTGAGAGGCAGAGGTTGCAGTGAGCCGAGATCGCACCATTGCACTCCAGCTTGGGCAACAAGAGCGAAACTCCATCTCAAAAAAAAAAAAAAAAAAAAAAAAAACTCAGCTGGGCGTGGTGGCGCATGCCTGTAATCCCAGCTACTCGGGAGGCTGAGGCAGGAGAATCGCTTAAACCTGGGAGGCAGAGGTTACGGTGAGCCGAAGGTTGCGGTAGGCTGAGATCGCGCCATTACACTCCAGCCTGGGCAACGAGTGAAACTTCGTCTCAAAAAAAAAAAACGGCCAGACGCGGTAGCTCACGCCTGTAATCCCAACACTTTGGGAGGCCAAGGCGGGCGGATCATAAGGTCAGGAGAATCGAGACCATCCTGGCTAACACAGTGAAACCTCCGTCTCTACTAAAAAAATACAAAAAATTAGCCAGGCGTGGTGGCGAGCGCCTGTAGTGCCAGCTACTCAGGAGGCTGTGGAAGGGGAATGGCGTGAACCTGGGAGGCGGAGCTTGCAGTGAGTGGAGATTGCACCACTGCACTCCAGCCTGGGCAAGAGAGTGAGACTCCATCTCCAAAAAAAAAAAAAAAAACCTAGAGTTTATGGTAGTACTTGAATGATTAGAGTATTTGCATTTTGTTTTTACGGGTGAATATATGATTTTAATATGTGGGTTAAATGCTCTTGAGCATCTGTTTAAAGACTTGAATTACAAGCTAGCTAAATACCACAGTTCACACAGCAAAAGGAATGGATATGTGAAAACCTACTCCATAGATAAACAGAAGGACAGTCCTGAAGCCAAAAGAGTGGTGGTGGTGTGTCGTGGGGGGTTTTGTTTGTTTAATTAAAATTTGTTTGTTTGTTTGTTTTTGAAACAGGGTATCACTGTTGCCCAGGCTGGAGTGCAGTGGCATGAACACGGCCCACTGCAGCCTCGACCTCTTGGGCTCAAACAATCTTCTCGCCTTAGCCTCCCCAGTAGCTGGGACTACAGGCACACATCTCCAGGCCCAGCTAATTTTGTATTTTTGGTAGAGATGGGGTATCATGTTTTTTTGTGTTTTTTGTTTTGGTTTGGTTTGTTTTTTGCTTTTTTTTTTTTTTTTTGAGACTGAGTCTCTCTCTGTCTCCCAGGCTGGAGTGCAGTGGTGCAATCTTGGCTCACTGGAACCTCTGCCTTCCAGGTTCAAGCTATTCTCCTGCCTCAGCCTCCTGAGTAACTGGGATTACAGGCTTGTGCCACCACGCCTGGCTAATTTTGTATTTTTAGTAGAGACGGGGCTTCACCATATTGGCCAGGCTGGTCTCAAACTCCTGACCTCAAGTGATCCATCCACCTCGGCCTCTTAAAGTCCTGGGATTACAGGTGTGAGTCACAGCGCCCAGCAAGACAAGGTTTTGCTGTGTTGTCCAGGCTGGTCTCAAACTCCTGGACTCAAGTGATCCACCCACCTCAGCCTCCCAAACACTGGGATTACAGGCATGAGCCACTGCACCTGTCCTAAATTAAAATTCTTAACCCAGAATCAGAGTTTTGGTGTTTGGGTTGGAACTTCTGCCACAGGGGTTACAGACATGTCAGAAAGGAGAGAAAGCCACCCTGATTCATTTCAAGATTACAGGTTTGGGGCCAGGCCTGGTGGCTAGAGGTCGAGGCTGCTATGAGCCATGATCGCACCACTGCACTCCAGCCTGGGCGACAGAGTTGAGACCCTGTCTCAAAAAAGAAAAAAAAATTTTATTTTAAACATATCACCACGTTGGCCAGGCTGGTCTTAAACTTCTGACCTTAAGTGATCCGCCTGCCTTGGCCTCCCAAAGTGCTGGCATAAGCGTGAGCCGCCGCGCCCAGCCAAATATATGTATGTATGTATATATATCTATAGACATATCTAGATATCTAGAGATATCTATAGATATCTAGAGATAGATCTATCGATCTATATATCTAGATATGTATCTAGATATAGATCTATCGATCTATATATCTAGATATATAGATCGATAGATATAGATCTATATATAGATATGTAGATATATAGAGCTATATAGATATATCTATATATAGATATGTAGATATATAGATCTATATATAGATATGTAGATATATCTATAGATAAATATCTATATATATAGATAGATATCTAGATATCTGTAGAGATCTATATAGATATATATATATTTTTGAGACGTAGTCTCGCTCTGTCTCCCAGGCTGGAGAGCAGTGGCGCGATCTCGGCTCACTGCAAGCTCCGCCTCGCTCCGCCTTCCGGGTTCACGCCATTCTCCTGCCTCAGCCTGCCGAGTAGCTGGGACTACAGGCGCCCGCCACCACGCCCCCCTAACTTTTTTGTATTTTTAGTAGAGACCACCGTGTTAGCCAGGATGGTCTCGATCTCCTGACCTCGTGATCCGCCCGCCTTGGCCCTCCAAAGTGCTGGGATTACAGGCGTGAGCCACCGTGCCCGGCCCCTTTTTTTTTTTTTTTTTTAATTGTGGAACCATCATGATAGAAAACCAGCTTACTCTGGGTCCTGTTCCCAGTTCCGTTACTGCCAGCAGGGGGCGCACGGGCCACAGGCGCTGGAACTAGCTTCTGGACCATTTCCCCTTGGGACTTTATCGTGGTAGGTGTTTTGTTTTGTTATATTTTGTTTTTTAATATATGCAAGAGGACAATTTCCAAATGATTTATTATAAATTATACATGAATATAGTCTGATTTTTTTTTTTTGATAGAGCCTTGCTCTGTCACCCAGGCTGGATTGCAGTGGCGCAATCTCAGCTCATTGCAACCTGCACCTCCTAGGTTCAAGCGATTCTCCTGCCTCGGCCTCCCAAATAGCTGGGATTACAGGCGTGCGCCACGATGCCCAGCTAATTTGTGGATTTTTAGTGGAGACAAGGTTACACCATGTTGGCCAGGCTGGTCTGAAACTCCTGACCTCAGGTGATCCACCCGCTTCAGCCTCCCAAAGTGCTAGGATTACAGGCGTGAGCCACCACGCCCGGTCCAATAGTATGAACTTTAAAATACAGCTTTAATTGAAATGTAATGCTGACATTAAAAACAATTATAATGTTGACTTTTTAGACAAGGTAATTTAGTAATAGTTCTCAGATTTTTATTTTCTTCCCCTTCTTTTTTTTTTTTTTTTTTTTTTTTTTTTTTTGAGACGGAGTCTCACTCTGTCGCCAAAGCTGGAGTACAGTGGCACCATCTCGGCTCACTGCAAGCTCCGCCTCCCTGGTTCATGCCATTCTCCTGCCTCAGCCTCCCGAGTAGCTGGGACTACAGGCGCCCGCCACCACGCCCGGCTAATTTTTTGTATTTTTAGTAGAGACGGGGTTTCACCGTGTTAGCCGGGATGGTTTCAATCTCCTGACCTCGTGATCCACCCGCCTCGGCCTCCTGAAGTGCTGGGATTACAGGTGTGAACCACCGCGCCCGGCCTTTTTTTTTTTTTTTTTTTTTTTTTAAATAAAGATGGGGTCTCACCATGTTGCCCACACTGATCTCGAACTCCTGGGCTCAAGTGATCCTCCTGCTTCAGCCTCTCAGAGTGCTAGGACTACAGGCGTGAGCCACTGCTCCCAGCCTCCAGATTTTATTATTTTTGATCAAGCAACTCAACTTCATATTGTTGAATGCTGGGAACACACACACACACACACACACACACACACACACGCACACACTGAAAATAGTTCAGCCGTCCTCTAATTGGGACTCCGAGCCAGGGCTATTTCTCGCGCTGGCGCGGTTCCAAGAAGCATCCCAGCCATCACTCTTTCACCTGCTCCTTAGAGAAGGGAAGATGAGCGAGTCGAGCTCGAAGTCCAGCCAGCCCTTGGCCTCCAAGCAGGAAAAGGAGGGCACTGAGAAGCGGGGCCGGGGCAGGCCGCGCAAGCAGCCTCCGATGAGTCCTGGGACAGCGCTTGTAGGGAGTCAGAAGGAGCCCAGCGAAGTGCCAACACCTAAGAGACCTCGGGGCCAACCAAAGGGAAGCAAAAACAAGGGTGCCGCCAAGACCCGGAAAACCACCATAACTCCAGGAAGGAAACCAAGGGGCAGACCCAAAAAACTGGAGAAGTAGGAAGAGGAGGGCATCTCGCAAGAGTCCTCGGAGGAGGAGCAGTGAACCGTGCGTGCCGCCTGCTCCTCACTGGAGGAGCAGCTGCCTTCTGGGACTGGACAGCTTTGCTCCGCTCCCACCGCCCTCGCCCCTTCCGCAGGCCCACCATCACCACCGCCTCTGGCCGCCACCCCCATCTTCCACCTGTGCCCACACCACCACACTACGCAGCACACCAGCCACTGCAGGGCTCCCATGGGCTGAGTGGGGAGCAGTTTTCCCCTGGCCTCAGTTCCCAGCTCCCCCCGCCCACCCACGCATACACACATGCCCTCCTGGACAAGGCTAGCATCTCACTTAGCCGCACCCTGCACCTGCTGCGTCCCCACTCCGTTGGTGGTGGGGACATTGCTCTCTGGGCTTTTGGTTTGGGGGCGCCCTCTCTGCTTCACTGTTCCCTCTGGCCTCCCATAGTGGGGCCTGGGAGGGTTCCCCTGGCCTTAAAAGGGGCCCAAGCCCCATCTCATCCTGGCACGCCCTACTCCACTGCCCTGGCAGCAGCAGGTGTGGCCAATGGAGGGGGGTGCTGGCCCCCAGGATTCCCCCAGCCAAACTGTCTTTGTCACCACGTGGGGCTCACACTTTTCATCCTTCCCCACCTTCCCTAGTCCCTGCACTAGGTTGGACAGCCCCCTTCGGCTACAGGAAGGCAGGAGGGGTGAGTCCCCTACTCCCTCTTCACTGTGGCCGCAGCCCCCTTGCCCTCCGCCTGGGATCGAGTACATATTGTGGTGATGGAGATGCAGTCACTTATTGTCCAGGTGAGGCCCACGAGCCCTGTGTCCGCCGCCTGAGGTGGGCTGGGGCTGCTCCCCTAACCCTACTTTGCTTCCGCCACTCAGCCATTTCCCCCTCCTCAGATGGGGCACCAATAGCAAGGAGCTCACCCTGCCCGCTCCCAACCCCGCTCCTGCTCTTCCCTGCCCCTCAAGGTTCTGGTTCCATTTTTCCTCTGTCCACAAACTACCTCTGAACAGTTGTGTTGTTTTTTGTTCAATGTTCCATTCTTCCACATCCGTCATTGCTGCTGCTACCAGCGCCAAATATTCATCCTCACTGCCTCCTGTTCTGCCCACGATCCCCTCCCGCAAGATACTCTTTGTAGGGAAGAGGGGCTGGGGCATGGCAGGCTGGGTGACCGCCTACCCCAGTCCCAGGGAAGGTGGGGCCCTGCCCCTAGGATGCTGCAGCAGAGTGAGCAAGGGGTCCCGAATCAACCATAAAGGGCGTAGGGGCCACCTCCTCCCCCTGTTCTGTTGGGGAGGGGTGACCATGATTTGTCCCAGCCTGGGGCTCCCCCTCTGGTTTCCTATTTGCAGTTACTTGAATAAAAAAAAATCCTTTTCTGGAAAAAAAAAGAAAGAAAATAGTTCAGCCATCTCTCAATAGGGAATTGGATAACTAAATTATGGTCCATCCATAAAATTAAATATGGTTCAGTTCTACCTATCCTGTCATGGTAAGATATCTTAGAATACATTATTGAGTTTTAAATAAAGTAGAAGACGACCAGGTGAGGTGGCTCACGCCTGTAATCCCAGCACTTTGGGAAGCCGAGGCAGGTGGATCATGAGGTCAGGAGTTCGAGACCAGCCTGGCCAACATAGTGAAACCCCATCTCTACTAAAAATACAAAAAATTAGCCGGACATAGTGGTGGGCACCAGTAATCCCAGCTATTTTGGATGCTGAGGCAGGAGAAACTCTTGGACCTGGGAGGCGGAGGTTGCAGTGAGCCAAGATCAAGCCACTGTACTCCAGCCTGGGTGACAGAGACAGACTGTCTCAAAAAAAAGTTGAAGACAGTATTACAGTATGATCCCAATACAATGTTTATTTCACTGTATGTACTCCTGGGAAAACTAGGAGCATGTACAGCAAACTTGAATATCTTGGGGCAGGAGAGAGTACAAGACTTAGGCATTCAGAGTAGTATGTATCTGTAATTCAGTAAGATATGTGTTCTCTTAATAACCAGGAGGAAAAAAACTACTTAAAAAAAAAAGATTGGCTGGACCCGGTGGCTCATGCCTGTAATCCCAGCACCTTGGGAGGCCGAGGCGTGCGGATCACCAGGTCAGGAGATCGAGACCATCCTGGCCAACATGGTGAAACCCTGTCTCTAATAAAAATTCAAAAATTAGCTGGGTGTGATGGCACATGCCTGTAATCCCAGCTACTCAGGAGGCTGAGGCACGAGAATCGCTTCAACCCAGGAGGCGGAGGTTGCAATGAGCTGAGATCGAGCCACTGCACTCCAGCCTGGGTGATAGAGACTCTGTCTCAAAAAAAAGAAAAAAGTTGAAGACAGTATTATAGTATGATCCCAATACAATGTTTATTTCATTGTATATACTCCTGGAAAAACTAGAAGCATGTACAGCAAACTTAACAATGAATATCTTGGGGCAGGAGAGAGTACAAGACTTGTACATTCAGAGTAAAATATATCTATAATTCAGTAAGATATGTGTTCTCTTAATAACCAGGAGGAAAAAAACTACTTAAAAAAAAAAAGATTGGCTGGACCCGGTTGCTCATGCCTGTAATCCCAGCACCTTGGGAGGCCGAGGTGGGCGGATCACGAGGTCAGGAGATCGAGACCATCTTGGCCAACATTGTGAAACCCTGTCTCTAATAAAAGTACAAAACTTAGCTGGGTGTGGTGGCATATGCCTGTAATCCCAGCTACTCGGGAGGCTGAGGCAGGAGAATTGCTTGAACCCAGGAGGCGGAGGTTGCTGTGAGCCAAGATCACACCACTGCATTCCAACCTGGCAACAGAGCAAGACTCCGTCACCAAAAAAAAAAAAAAAAAAAAGATTGATAGAAAATCAAATCTTGGCTGGGCACAGTAATCCCAGCACTTTGGGAGGCTAAGGCAGGTGGATCATTTGAGATCAGGAATTCGAAACCAGCCTGGACAACATGGTGAAACCCCATCTCTACTAAAAATAGAAAAATTAGCCAGGCATGGTGGTGCACACCTATAATCCCAGCTACTCGGGGGGCTGAGACAGAAGAATCACTTGAACCCAGAAGGTGGAGGTTACAATGAGCCAAGATTGTGCCACTGCACTCCGGCCTGGGCGACAGAGGGAGACTCCGTCTAAAAAAAAAAAAAGAAAAGAAAATCTTTTATAAAAGCACGTTAGCCCAAAACAGTGTGAGGACGATGGTCATCTTGTTCTTCTTTCTTAAGCATCCTGTTTACATTCATCATTGCCATATGCCACTAATTACTGTCATATGTGTGGAAAGATTACAGTACATGGAAATACATGAACAAGATCTATGTGAACTGTTTGATTTGACGTTTTTCTTTTTCCCAAAAGTATTAGTACTGAAGACCTTCATAAAAAGTTTGGTGCTATGTCCAGAAAGGGATGTAATACTATTCCACCAAAAGGCATTTGGTTTGTTTCCCCCTTCGTTTTTGTTTATAGATGTTTGGAAGACCATGCCATTAGGAGAGTGTAATTTTAGGGCCACATCTGTTCTGTGTTGATATTGAGATAAATCATCCATCATGATTTTCCACTTTGCTTCAACTCTGCAGCTCCAATTTATAGGTGATCTGGCAGTGCGCTAAGCACTTTACAGTTTTAAATCCTATTTAACTTTTGCAAAAAAAAAAAATACTTTTTGTGGGCCAGGTGCTGTGGCTCATGCCTGTAATCCTAGCACTTTGGGAAGCTGAGGTGGACAGATCACTTGAGGTCAGGAGTTTGAGACCAGCCTGGCCAATATGGCGAAACCCTGTCTCTACTAAAAATACAAAAATTAGAACTGGGTGCTGTGGCTCACGCTTGTAATCCAGCACTTTGGGAGGCCGAGGTGGGCAGATCACCTGAGGTCAGGAGTTCAAGACCAGCCTAGCCAACATGGTGAAATCCTGTCTCTACTAAAAATAGAAAAATTAGCTGGGCGTTGTGGCAGGTGTGTGTAATCCCAGCTACTCAGGAGGTTGAGGCAGGAGAATCCCTTGTACCCGGGAGGTGGAGCTTGCAGTGAGCTGAGATTCACCACTGCACTCCAGCCTGGGTAACAGCAAGACTCCATCTCAAAAATAAATAAATAAATAAAAGGCTGGGAGCGGTGGCTCACACCTGTAATCCCAGCACTTTGGGAGGCCGAGGCAGTCGAATCACGAGGTCAGGAGTTAGAGATCAACCTGGCCAACATGGTGAAACCTCGTGTCTACTAAAAATACAAAAATTAGCTGGGCGTGGTGGCGAGTGCCTGTAATCCCAGCTACTCAGGAGGCTGGGGCAGGAGAATTGCTTGAACCCGGGAGGCAGAGGTTGCAGTGAGCTGAGATCGTGCCATTGCGTTCCAGCCTGGGCGACAAGAGCAAGACTCCATCTCAAAAAATAATAATAATAAAATAAATAAAAATTTAAAAATAATAAAATTAAATAAAATTAAAAATTAGCTGGGTGTGATGGCACACACCTGTAATCCCAGCTACTCGGGAAGCTGAGACAAGAGAATCGCTTGAACCTGGGGGGCGGAGGTTGCAGTGAGCCAAGATCTCGCTGCTGCACTCCAGCCTGGGTGACAGAGCAAGACTCTGTCTCAAAAAAAAAAAAAAAAAGAAGGCCAGGTACGGTGGCTCATGCCTGTAATCCCAGCACTTTGGGAGGCTGAGGAGGGTGGATCACCTGAGGCCAAGAGTTCGAGACCAGCCTGGCCAACATGGTGAAACCCCGACTCTACTAAAAGTACAACAAATTAGCTGGGCGTGCTGGTGGGTTCCTGTAATCCCAGCTACTTGGGAGGCTGAGGCCGAAGAATGGCTTGAATCTGGGAGGCGGAGGTTGCAGTGAGCTGATATCACACCACTGCACTCCAGCCTGGGCGACAGAGGAAGTCTCTGTCTCAAAAACAAAAAAACAAAAAAAACACAAAAAAACCTTTGTGGCAGATGCAAGATTATCCCCTTTTCCAGATGAAGAAGGCGAGGCTACAGAAATTAACTTTTTGAAACTCACACACCTGGAAGTTGGCTAAATTGGTAATTAAACCTAAATCTGTCGGAATCCAGAGCTGGCCCACACAGCCAAAACGTGGTTACTTTGAAAGAGTGTAATTTTCAGTAACCCATTCATGCAACAATATGAGTAGATTGCTCTGTTGGGTGCACTATGCCAGCTATTGAAAGGATGCACAAGAGATGTCAGTGTGGTCTCTGCTCTCTAGGACCATAATGGTCTGATGGGAAATGTGTGTAGCAAGATAGATATGAAGAAATACTGCAAGGTTCATATGATGCCCAGTTCGGTAGAAGCCCAGAGAAAAAGAGGCTTTGTTGAAGTCAGTTGGAGAAGATTTAGCAAAGGTGGCTCTCAAACCAAATGAGCTCTGAAGTGAGCCAAATTGGGCAGACTAGATCCAAAAATGGTATACTGGTCCCAGGTAAATGACGTGGTCAAGCCTGGCATGAAGGCAACCTTAGGGTGTAGAATATGATGGGGTGGATGCTGCCCCAGCAGGAGGGAATGCCCCACATTTTTTTGTCTTGAAAGCTAAGACTGGGGGAATGCCTCACATTTTTGAGAGCCAGGGTCAGACTAGGACGTGAAACTTTCTCCTGTCAACAGGGCAAAGGACACCACAGATTGTCCACATTGGCACTTTTCTGCTTTTCCCACCATTCTGAGAACCATTTGCCTGAGCAATCGTCACTTTTTTTCTTTCTGAGTTTTTCCACAGTTTCTGTACTCAAGTTTTGTGGGCTTTTTAAAAACAGGCTTGTTGGCCGGGTGCAGTGGCTCACGCCTGTAATCCTATCACTTTAGGAGGTTCGAGGCGGGTGGATCACCTGAGGTCGGGAGTTCAAAACCAGCCTGACCAACATGGAGAAACCCCGTCTCTACTAAAAATACAAAATTAGCCAGGCGTGGTGGCGCATGCCTGTAATTCCAGCTACTCAGGAGGCTGAGGCAGGAGAATCACTTGAACCCGGGAGGTGGAGGTTGCAGTGAGCTGAGATCGCACCATTGCACTCCAGCCTGGGCAACAAGAGCAAAACTCCGTCTCAAAATAAAAAATAATAATAAAATAAAAACAGCCTTGTTGAAAAATAATTCACATACAATTCACTCATATAAAATGTTCAATGGTGTTTAGCATTTTACACTATTTTCATGTGTAACATAAACTTTGCCATTTTAACTATTTTAAGTGTACAATTCAGTGGCATTAATTCCATTCAAAATGTTGTACAACCATCACCACTATCTATTTTGAAAACTTTTTTATCACCCCAATAGAAACTCTGTCCCCATTAAACCACTCCCCCGCTTCCATTCAGCCCCTGTAAACTCTAATCTACTTGATGTCTGCATGCATTCACCTATCCTGGACATTTCATATAAATGGAATCATGTGAGCTGGGCACAGTGGCTCACGCCTGTAATCCCAGCACCTTGGGAAGCTGAGGCAGGCAGATCACTTGAGGTCAGGAGTTTGAGACCAGCCTGGCCAACATGGCAAAGCCCCATTTCTACCAAAAATACAAAAATTATCTGGGCAGGGTAGTGGGCAGCTGTAATCTCAGTTACTCGAGAGGCTGAGGCAGGAGAATCACTTGAACCCAGGAGGTGGAGGTTGCAGTGAGTGAGGTGAGATTGTGCCACTGCACTCCAGCCTGGGTGACAGACGGAGACCTCTGTCTCAAAAAAAAAAAAAGGAATCTTATGATATTTGTCCTTTTTGTGTTTGGCTTCTTTCACTTAATGTAATGTTTTTGAGATTCAGTCATATTTATCCATGTTGTAGCATGTATCAGAACTCAGAACTTCATTTTTTTTTTTAGACAGTCTCACGCTGTCACTCAGACTGGAGTGCAGTGGTGCAATCTCGGCTCACTGCAACTTCCGTCTCTTGGGTTCAAGCGATTCTCGTGCCTCAGCCACCTGAGTAGTTGGGATTACAGGCACCCACCACCACACCTGGCTAATTGTTGTATTTTTAGTAGAGATGGGGTTTCACCATGTTGGCCAGGCTGGTCTCGAACTCCTGACCTCAGGTGATCCGTCTGCCTCAGCCTCCCAAAGTGCTGGGATTAGAGGTGTGAGCCACCGTGTCCAGCCCTTCATTCTATTTTATAGCTGAATAACATTCCCTTGTAGGGACAGACCACATTTTGCTTCTCCATCTGTTCATGGACACTTGGGTTGTTTCCATCTTCCGTGAAGAATGCTGCAATGAACATGGTTATACAAGCTGAGTTCCTGCTTTCAGAGTGCTTTTAAAAAGTCACCCATTTGCTATTTTATCACAAATCCCCTTGAGATTTATCCCTAAACCATTATTTAAGTCTTTTTACTTGTCTGACTATCTCATAAATAAAAATGACCATCTGGACATCTTAGAACCTTCTTTACTGAAAAGAGGGAAAATTGGTTGGGATGCTGGTGGTATTTATTCCCTCCAGTTGTTCAGGGAAATTCTTTGTCCTGAAGTTATTTTTCCACTGAAAGGAAACCTATCACTGCCAGGAGACACTTAAGGGATGTTAAGTAATGTTTCCCTTAGAGCAATTTATAAGTGTTATGTTTTTCCCCTTGTACAAAAGACAGATCTAAGAAAAATGTCTGATTGCAGCTGGGAAAAATTTTCATTCTTAGGAAGCTGCTGGACATTTAGAGATGAACTTAAGTGGAGCAGAACATTTATATTTATAAGTTGTTCCTCCAATGTATTTGACCCAACACTCCACGGTATCCACATCATTCTACATCTGTTACGCAGCTGACCTAACGATTCACAGCCAATTACCATCCCAGGACTTCTGTTTCCTCACATAAAATGAAGATAACCTCTAACACGCCCTCCAGCTCCAAAATTATCCTTTCTGAATATGATTCCATGAGGAAGAGGAGGCCTAGTCTCCTTGGATATATCTCCTGTGTGTCCCAAGTTGTTTTAACACCATACATGTCCTTTGAATATTATTAAAATCAGTATGATCTGGCCAAGCATGGTGGGTCATGTGTGTAATCCCAGCACTTTGGGAGGCCAAGGCGGGTGGATCACTTTGCTGCGGGATAATTAAGGAATTAGAGAGACTGAGGGGTTGAGGAGGAATTATTTAATTATTAAGCTGCACCAACCCAGTCGGATTAACATCCAAAGGACTGGGCCCTGAACAAAGAGTCAAGTTACCTTTTAAGCATTTCGTGGGGCAGGGGCAGATCTGTGCAGGGGGAAGCATATTACAGAAGCAAGAAACAAAGACAGTTATTTAATTGAGACATGCATTACATTATTTCATACTTTTTAAGGAACAACATGTTTTACAACTTGAGATTATCTGTCTAGTGACCTTGTAGCTGCACAGCTAGAGAAACAGGGTCTTCACAATGCTTGGGAAAGGGAGAGATAAGGCTCACTAGCCACAGAAAGACAGGCAGTTAATTTTAAAGGACTCCAGCTCTTTCTCTTCCTCAAGGGGAATTGGGTTTTCTTATATACAACTGAGTTTTTGTTTAAACATTTTTTGATTTATTTTAATTCCTGTTTCAGCTTGAGCTCAGTTCAAGACCAGCCTGGCAACATGGCAAAACCCCTGTCTCTACCAAAAAAAATTAGCCAGGCGTGGTGGCAGGTATCTGTACTCCCAGCTTCTTGGAAGGCTGAGGTGGGATTATCTCTTGAGCCCGAAAGGTAGAGGTTGCAGTGAGCTGTGATTGCACCACTGCACTCCAGCCTGGGTGATAGAGCCAGACCTTGTCTCAAAACAAAACAAAACAAAATCAGTATGATCTGAATTACATCATATTAATGGGACCTAACCGTAGAACCTACCCTCTCTTTGATAAATTGATTTTCAAGATGAATATTTTGAAATTTCCAGATTAGCTGGGCATGGTACCACACACCTGTAGTCCCAAGTACTCAGGAGGCAGAGGTGGAAGGATTGCTTGAGCCCAGGAGGTCAAGGCTGCAGTGAGCTATGATTTCGCCACTGCACTCCAGCCTGGGTGACAGAGAGAGACACAACTCTAAATAAATAAATAAAAATTGGGCACAGTGGCTCACACCTGTAATCCAGCACTTTGTGAGGCCAAGGCAGGAGGACAGCTTGAGCCCAGGAGTTTAAGACCAGCCTGGGCAACATAGCAAGACCCCATCTCCACACACACTCAATTTTTTAAATTAGCTTGGTGTGGTGGTGCATGCCTATAGTCCCAGCTACTTGGGAGGCTGAGGTGGAGGGACCACTTAAGCCTGGGAAGTTGAGGCTACAGTGAGGTATGATTGTGCCACTGCACTCAAGCCTGGGCAACAGAGGGAGATCCTGTCTCAAAAAAAATAAAAAATAAAAAATAAATAAATAAATAAATAAATAAAATTTCCAGAGGAGGTAGGTCCCCCTTTGCCTCTAATTTTTTCTCTATAAATATTTTTGCTTCATCCATTCTTTGTGTGAGTTTATCAGTTTCACAGGTGTGTTTTAGCTCTATTTCTTTGCAGGAATTATCAACTTTTCTTTTTTTTTTTTTTTTTTTTGAGACTGAGTCTCACTCTGCCACCCAGGCTGGAGTGCAGTGGTGCGATCTCAGCTCATTGCAACCTCTGCCTCCCGGGTTCAAGCGATTCTTCTGCTTCAGCCTCCCGAGTAGCTGGGACTACAGGCATGCGCCACCACACCCAACTAATTTTTGTAATTTTAGTAGAGATGGAGTTTCACCATATTGGCCAGGCTGGTCTTGAACTCCTGACCTAGTGATCCACCCACCTTGGCCTCCCAAAGTGCTGGGATTACAGACCTGAGCCACTGTGCCCAGTCTCAACCTTTCTTCTACCAGTTAGCCAGTGATACATTCTCCTTCATTCCCATCAGTATATAAAAATGATATTTCTCCAATCAGAAAACAAAAATCCTCTCTTTCACCCACCTGCTGCCAACCATGTCCTCCTTTGCTTTACAACAGGGCTTCTCCACATTGACACTTTGACATTTTGGACTGGCTACTTAAATATATGAATTAAAAAAATTTTTTTTTTCTTTTTGACAGAATCTCCCTCTGTCACCCTGGCTGGAGTGCCATGGTGTAATCTAGATTTACCGAAACCTCCACCTCCGGGTTCAAGTGATTCTCCTGCCTCAGCTTCCCAAGTAGCTGGGATTATAGGTGTGAGCCACCATGCCTGGCATGAATGTAAATTTCTCCTCCACTTTGCCGTGGGGGGCTGTCCTATACATTAAAGAATGTTTAGCAGCATCCCTAGTATCTATCTACCCGATGCCAGAAGCAACACCCACCCCACCTCAGATGTCTCCAGACATTGCCCAATGTCCCCTAGGAATACAGTCACCACCCTGCCTCCACCCCAGTTGAGAACCACTTCTCTGCAGCAAAACTCCTCAAAATAATTGGCCGGGCACAGTGGCTCATGCCTGTAATCCCAGCACTTTGGGAGGCCGAGGCAGGCGGATCACCAGGTCAAGAGTTCGAGACCAGCCTGGCCAGCATGGTGAAACCCCGTCTCTACTAAAAATACAAAAATTAGCCAGCCGGGCAGGTGGCACATGCCTGTAATCCCAGCTACTTGGGAGGCTGAGGCAGGAGAATCACTTGAACCCAGGAGGTGGAGGTTGCAGTGAGCCAAGGTCGTGCCACTGCACTCCAGCCTGGGCGAAAGGGCGAGATCTCGTCTCAAAAAAAAAAAAAAGAATTATTGGCTGGGCAAGGTGGCTCATGCCTGTAATCCCAGCACTGTGGGAGGCCAAGGCAGGCAGATTACCTGAGGTCAAGTGTTCAATACTAGCCTGGCCAACATGGTAAAACCCCTTCTCTACTAAAATACACAAAAATTAGCAGGAGCATGGTGGAGCATGCCTGTAATCCAGCTACTGGGGAGGCTGAGGCAGGAGAATCACTTGAACTTGGGAGGCAGAGGTTGCAGTGAGCCGAGATCATGCCGTTGAACTCTAGCATGGGCAACAGAGCAAGACTCCATCTCAAAATAAAAGAATTATCTATATGCATTGTCTCACATTTGTCTCCTTCTCTTTACCAAAGCGCCACTGAAAATGTTCTTGTTGACATCATCAGTGACTTTCATGTTGCTAAATGCTATGGCTATTTCTCCATAAGATGCAAAAAATTAGCCAGGCATGGTGGTGGGCGCCTGTAGTCCCAGCTACTCAGGAGGCTGAGGCAGGAGAATGGCATGAACCCGGGAGGCGGAGCTTGCAGTGAGATGAGATCACACCACTGCACTCCAGCCTGGGCAACAGAGCGAGACTCCGTCTCAAAAAAAAAAAAAAAAGAAAAGAAAAGAAAAAAGTATAATAGCAAACATTTATATAGTGCTTCTGGAACAGGAATTAAAAGAAATTAAAGAATGTGTAAGCAAAAACTCAGTTGTATGTAAGAAAACCCAATTCCCCCTGAGGAAGAGAAAAAGGTGGAGTCCTTTAAAAATTAACTGCCTGTTTTTCTGTCTGTGGCTAGTGAGCCTTATCTCTCCCTTTCCCAGGCATTGTGAAGACTCTGTTTCTCTAGCTGTGTGGCTGCAAGGTAAGTAGATAGATAAACTCAAGTCGTAAAACATGTTTTTCCTTGAAAAGTAAGAAATGATGTAATGCGGCCGGGCGCGGTGGCTCACGCCTGTAATCCCAGCACTTTGGGAGGCCGAGGCGGGCGGATCACAAGGTCAGGAGATCGAGACCATCCCGGCTAAAACGGTGAAACCCCGTCTCTACTAAAAATACAAAAAATTAGCCGGGCGTAGTGGCGGGCGCCTGTAGTCCCAGCTACTTGGGAGGCTGAGGCAGGAGAATGGCGTGAACCCGGAGGCGGAGCTTGCAGTGAGCCGAGATCCCGCCACTGCACTCCAGCCTGGGCGACAGAGCGAGACTCCGTCTCAAAAAAAAAAAAAAAAGAAATGATGTAATGCATGTCTCAACTGAATAACTGTCTTTGTTTCTCACTTCTGTAATATGCTTCCCCCTGCACAGATCTCCCCCTGCCCCATGAAATGCTTAAAAGGTAACTTGACTCTTTGTTAGGGGCTCAGTCCTTTGGATGTTAATCCGACTGGGTTGGTGCACCTAAATAATTAAATAGTAAGTATCCTCCTCAACCCGTCGGTCTGATTCCTAAATTAGCCCGCTACACTGCAAGGGACCCAGAGATCACCTCCAGCCCCTCTTTTAACTCTTAGTGGGTTTTTGAGCTGGATCGAAAACGAACTGACACCAGGCAGATTAACAAGAGAAAAGTGTACAAACTTTGTTTCACGTGTACGGGGGGGTCTACACAAAAAAAAGAGTGAAGTCTGAAGAAGTGGCCAAATAAGATGCTTTATATGTTTTAGACAAAGAGCAATATACTTGAGAAGAAATGACAGGACAAAGAAAATCTGGCTGGGGCAGTAAATTTTTCAGGGGAGTCACTAGGAGATAAATGGGGGGAGTGCCAAACTGGTGAAAGTAAAGGTAACTTTGTTAAGTATGTTTATGGAGGTCCATTGTAGCCTTTAGTTTTAAGTCTCTGGAGATAAGGGCTATTTTCTTGCTCTTATATGGAGAGGGTACCTTTTCCAGATAAATCCTCATCACTTGTTACATGCAGGAAAACAGTGGTCAGCTCATTGTTTCTGAAACTTTACTTCCTCTATTTTTTTTTTCTTTGGTGACAGAATCTCACTCTGTTACCCAGACTGGAGTGCAGTGACACAATCTCAGCTCACTGCAACCTCCACCTCCCAGGTTCAAGTGATTCTCATGCCTCGGTCTCCTGAGTAGCATGCGTCACCACGCCCAGCTAATTTTTGTATTTTTAGTAGAGAGAGGGTTTTACCATGTTGGCCAGGCTGGTCTTGAACTCCTGGGCTCAAGTGATCAGCCTGCTTCGGCTTCCCAAAGTGCTTGAATTACAGGCGTGAGCCACCGTGCCCAGCCTCTCTAATGCTTTTTAACTCAATAATTGATATATCGATTTGGCATATTTGGAGTTTTGGGATTTTTGTTTTATTTATTTATTTATTTTTGAGACGGGGTCTCTCTTTGTCACCCAGGCTGGAGTGCAGTGGTGGGATCATAGCTCACTGCAGCCTCCACTTCCTGGGCTCAAGTGATTCCCCTGCCTCAGTCTCCCTGGTAGCTGGGACTATAGATGAGCACCACCATGTCCGGCTAATTTTTGTGTTTTTTTGTACAGACATGGTCTTGCTATATTGCCTAGGCAGGTCTTGAACTCCTGAGCTCAAGTGATCTGCCTGCCTCGGCCTCCCAAAGTACTGGGATTACAACCACCATGCCCAGCCCAATTTGGCATATTTTGGGATGGCACGTCCTTCACTCCTTCAGTGCTCACAGTGTGCTAGGTGTTGTTCTAAGTGTCTTAGATATGGTGGTACACCTAGCTGGTTCAACCTGCAGAGCAGCTTTTTTTTTTTTTTTTTTTTGAGACGGAGTCTCGCTCTGTTGCCCAGGCTGGAGTGCAGTGGCACGATCTAGGCTCACTGCAAGCTCCGCCTCCCAGGTTCACGCCATTCTCCTGCCTCTGCCTCTCGAGTAGCTGGGACTACAGGCACCCACCACCGCACCCGGCTAATTTTTTGTATTTTTTGTAGAGATCAGGTTTCACTGTGTTAGCCAGGCTGGTCTCGATCTCCTGACCTCCTGATCCGCCCGCCTCAGCCTCCCAAAGTGCTGGGATTACAGGTGTGAGCCACCACACCCGGCCTCAGAGCAGCTCATTTTTTTAATATTTTCTGTCTTTTATAACAAAATTACAGTCAGCAATAATTCTGAAATGAAGTGACTAATAATCACAGCCAGAAAAGAAACAGTGAAAGTTTTACTTTATTGAATTTCATGGCTGGGCATGGTGGCTCACACCTGTAATCCCAGCACTTTGGGAGGTCGAGGCAGGTGGATCACCTGAGGTCCAGAGTTCAATACCAGCCTGGCCAACATGGTGAAACCCTGTCTCTACTAAAAATATAAAAAGTTAGCCTGTAGGCTGGACGTGGTGGCTCACGCTTGTAATCCCAGAACTTTGGGAGGCGGAGACATGTGGATCACAAGGTCAAGGGTTCAAGACCAGCTTGGCCAAGATGGTGAAACCCCGTCTCTACTAAAAATACAAAAATTAGCCGGACGTGGTGGCGGTTGCCTGTAATCCCAGCTACTTGGGAGGCTGAAGCAGAGAATTGCTTGAACCTGGGAGGCAGAGCTTGCAGTGAGCCAAGGTCGTGCCACTGCACTCCAGCCTGGGCAACAGAGTGAGACTGTGTCTCAAAAAAAAAAAAAAAATTAGCCTGTAATCCCAGCACTTTGGGAGGTCGAGGCTGGTGGATCACCTGAGGTCCAGAGTTCAATACCAGCCTGGCCAACATGGTGAAACCCTGTCTCTACTAAAAATATAAAAATTAGCCTGTAGGCTGGACGTGGTGGCTCACGCCTGTAATCCCAGCACTTTGGCAGGCCAAGGTGGGTGGATCACAAGGTCAGGAGTTCAAGACCAGCCTGACCAACATGGAGAAACCCTGTCTCTACTAAAAATACAAAATTAGCCGGGCGTGGTGGCGCAGGCCATAATCCCAGCTACTCAGGAGGCTGAGGCAGGAGAATCACTTGAACCTAGAAAGCGGAGGTTACAGTGAGCGGAGATCACACCATTGCACTCCAGCCTGGGCAACAAGAGCAAAGCTCCTTCTCAAAAAAAAAAAAAAAAAAAATTAGCTGGGCGTGGTGGTGTGCATCTGTAATACCAGCTACTCAGGAGGCTGAGGTGGGAGAATCACTTGAGCCCAGGAGGTGGAGGTTTCAGTGAGCTGAGATCATGCCACTACACTCCAGCTAGGATGACAGAGTGAGATTCTGTATCAAAAGAAAAAAAAAATCAAATTCATATTATGGTACAAAAAGGTAACAAATTAATGCTTTTAAATGACATTTAAATATTTGTATATATATGTGTGTATATACACATATAAATATATTTATGGCCGGGCGTGGTGGCTCATGCCTGTAATCCCAGCACTTCGGGAGGCCAGGGCGGGTGGATCACGAGGTCAGGAGTTCGAGACCAGCCTGACCAACATGGTGAAACTCCGTCTCTACTAAAAATACAAAAATTACCCGGGTGTGGTGGCACCTGCCTGTAATCCCAACTACTCAGGAGGCTGAGGCGGGAGAATCGCGCCACTGCACTCCAGCCTGGGTGACAGAGCGAGACTCCGTCTCAAAAAAAAAAAAAAAAAAAAAAAAAAAAAAAAAATATATATATATATATATATATATATATATATATATACACACACACATATATATATATATATATCTCGCTCTGTCACCCAGGCTGGAGTGCAGTGGCGCAATCTCGGCTCACTGCAAGCTCTGCCTCCTAGGTTCATGCCATTCTTCTGCCTCAGCCTCCCAAGAAGCTGGGACTACAGGCGCCCACCACCACGCCCGGCTAATTTTTTGTATTTTTAGTAGAGATGGGGTTTCATCATGTTAGCCAGAATGGTCTCGATCTCCTGACCTCGTGATCCGCCCGCCTCGGCCTCCCAAAATGCTGGGATTATAGGCATGAGCAACCCCGCCCGGCACGCCCAGCTAATTTTTGTATTTTTAGTAGAGACGGCGTTTCACCATGTTGGCCAGGATGGTCTCCATCTGCTGACTTCGTGATCTGCCCGCCTCAGCCTCCCAAAGTGCTGGGATTACAGGCGTGAGCCACCACACCCGGCCCTATTTTTTTTTTTTCCAGATTGGATCTCCCTGTGTTGCTTAGAGTGGCTCAAACTCCTGGGCTCAGGGATCCTCCTGCCTCAGCCTCCTGAGCCACCGTACATAGCCTATTTTATTATTTTTATTATATTATATATAATATTATTATAGTTTATATTATATATAATATATATTATATATTATATTATTAAAGTTTATATTGTATATAATATATATTATATATTGTATATTGTATATTATATATTATATATAATATATATAATATATAATATACAATATATAAAATATATAATATATAATATACTATATATTATATATTATATTGCCTGCCTCGGCAGTATGGCAAGAGCAATCTAATATATATTAATATAAATAATATATATTATATAATATTTATTTATTTATTTATCTGAGACAGAATCTTGCTCTGTTGCCCAGGCTGGAGTGCAGTGGCACAATCTTGGCTCACTGCCACTTCCACCTCCTGGGTTCAGGCAATTCTCCTGCCTCGGCCTCCCAAGTAGCTGGGATTACAGTTGTCTGTCACCACACCCGGCTAATTTTTGTATTTTTAGTAGAGACAGGGTTTCACCATGTTGGCCAGGCTCGTCTTGAACTCCTGACGGCAGGTGATCCACCTGTCTCAGCCTCCCAAAGTGCTGGGATTACAGGCATGAGCCACCGCGCCTGGCCTGTTTTTTTTTGTTTGTTTGTTTGTTTTCTGAGATGGAGTCTTGCTCTGTTGCCCAGGCTGGAGTGAGCAGTGGTGCAACCTACCCCTCTCTAACCTATGCCCTGGGGTGGATCACTTCTACCATGCTGCCCTTAATAGCTTCCCACCATGAATTAATTTAATATTTACAACAATCCCATTAAATAGGTGCTGTTATATCTCCCCCGTTTCACAGAAGGGGTGACTAAGGTTCCAGAAAATTAAGTGACATTTAAATTAAGATAATAAATGGCAAAAATGAGATTTAAACCCAGGCAGTCTAGTGCCTATTTCTATGCTTTTAATGGCTCCCCAGTGCCATTTATGAAGGACAATGTAAAGAATACCTGTATCAGCCGGGTGCAGTGGCTCACGCCTGTAATCCCAGAACTTTGGGAGGCTGAGGTGGGCGGATCTCGAGGTCAGATCAAAACCATCCTGGCTAACACAGTGAAACCCCATCTCTACTAAAAATACAAAAAATTACCTGGGCATGGTGGCCCTCACCTGTAGTCTCAGCTACTCAGAAGGCTGAGGCAGGAGAATCGCTTGAACCTGGGAGGCGGAGGTTGCAGTGAGCTGAGATGGCGCCACTGCACTCCAGCCTGGGTGACAGAGTGAGACTCTGTCTCCAAAAAAAAAAAAGAATACCTGTATCTTCATCATTTAACTTTTTTAGCTCTTGCATTTTGCCACAGTTGAAGCTCCCGTAGATCCCTTTCCCATCTCATTCCCTATTCTCGTTTTCTAGATGTAACCTTCAATTTGATTTTGGTGGGCATCTTCACCATGAACTTTTAAATACTTTTCCTAAATATGTATGTATCCAAAAACAATGTATAACATCCTGTATGTTTTCAAACTTTATTGAAATGGTATCATAGAGTGATACAATTCTACAACTTGCTTTAGTCATTCAATATACTTTTTTACATTTATCCATGTTAACATTAATACATGTGTTAGAGTTCACTTATGTTTTAAATGCTGCATAGCAGTTCCTTGCATAAATGTAGCAAAATGTATCCATTCTTCCGCCAATGTATAAACAATATGTTTCAAGGCTTTGGTCTTCTATACATAGAAAGTTCTTGTTATTTTCATTTTGGCCAACGTTTAAAAATTGGAATACTTGGCCAGGCACAGTGGCTCATGCCTGTAATCCCAGCACTTTGGGAGGCAGAGGTGGGTGGATCACCTGAGCTCAGGAGTTTGAGACCAGCCTGGCCAACATGGTGAAACCCGGTCTCTACCAAAAATACAAAAATTAGCTGGATGTGGTGGCGCATGCCTGTAGTCCCAGCTACTTGGGAGGCTGAAGCAGGAGAATCCCTTCAACCCAGGAGGCAGAGGTTGCAGTGAGCCAAGATCGTGCCACTGCACTCCAGCCTGGGTGACAGAGTGAAACTGTTTCAAAAAAAAAAAAATTGGAATACTTCAAATATTAAAATCCAGATTTATAACTATGAATTCTTTTGAAAAGTCAAATGATACAGAAAATTCCCAGCTGCCTGGGACTAATATACTGAAATTAAGTTGCAGCTGCCCCTGTAGAGAGGGCATACTCCAGTTTGTTACAACTTCCCTGCTCCTCCCCATGTGCTGAGTGGTGATGTCAATTGCCATTTATCAAGATGACAATGTTATACATTGTTTTTGGATATATACATATTTAGAAAAAGTATTTAAGGCTGGGCGTGGTGCCTTACAGCTGTAATCCCAGCACTTTGGGAGGCTGAGGTGGGCAGATCACCTGATGTTGGGAGTTCAAGACCAGCCTGGCCATCAGGGCGAAACTTCATCTCTACTAAAAATACAAAAATTAGCTGTGCATAGTGGCGCGTGCCTGTAATCCCAGCTACTTGGGAGGCTGAGGCAGGAGAATCGCTTGAACCCGGGAGGCAGCATTTGCAGTGAGCCAAAATTGCGCCATTGCACTCCAGCCTGCGCAAGAAGAATGAAACTCCATCTCAGAAAAAAAAAAAAAAGAAAAGAAAAAGTATTTAAAAGTTCACAGAAGGCCGGGCACAGTGGCTAACACCTGTAATCCTAGCACTTTAGAAGGCCGAGGCTGGCAGATCACCTGAGGTCAAGAGTTCAAGACCAGACTAGCCAACAAAGCAAAACCCTGTCTCTACTAAAAATACAAAAATAAGTCAGGCATGATGGTGCATGCCTTTAATCCCAGCTACTTGGGAGGCTGAGGCAGAATAGCTTGAACCTGGGAGGTGGAGGTTGTGGTGAGCAGAGATCCTACCACTGCACTCCAGCTTGGGGGACACAGTGAGACTCTGTCCCAAAAAAAAAAAAGTTCGGCTGGGCATGGTTGCTCACGCCTGTAATCCCAGCACTTTGAGAGGCCAAGGCAGGTGGATCACCTGAGGTCAGGAGTTGGAGACCAGCCTGACCAACATGGAGAAACCCTGTCTCTACTAAAAATACAAAATTAGCTGGGCATGGTTGTCAGGCCTCTGAGCCCAAGCCTGCATGTATACATCCAGATGGCCTGAAGTAACTGAAGAATCACAAAAGAAGTAAAAATGGCCAGTTCCTGCCTTAACTGATGACATTACTTTGTGAAATTCCTTCTCCTGGCTCAGAAGCTCCCCCACTGAGCACCTTGCAACCCCCGCCCCTGCCCGCCAGAGAACAACCCCCTTTGACTGTAATTTTCCTTTACCTACCCAAATCCTATAAAACAGCCCCACCCCTATCTCCCTTTGCTGACTCTCTTTTGGGACTCAGCCCGCCTGCACCCAGGTGAAATAAACAGCCTTGTTGCTCACACAAAGCCTGTTTGGTGGTCTCTTCACATGGACGTGCATGACATTTGGTGCTGAAACCCGGGACAAGAGGACTCCTTTGGGAGACCGGTCCCCTGTCCTCACCCTCACTCCATGAGGAGATCCACTTATGACCTCGGGTCCTCAGACCAACCAGCCCAAAGAACATCTCATGAATTTCAAATCGGGTAAACGGTCTTTTCACTCTCTTCTCCAGCCTCTCTTGCTACCCTTCAATCTCCCTCCCTTGCTACCCTTCAATCTCCCTGTCCTTCCAATTCCAGTTCTTTTTCCTCTCTAGTAGAGACAAAGGAGACACATTTTATCCATGGACCCAAAACTCTGGCGCCGGACATGGACTCGGGAAGACAGTCTTCCCTTGGTGTTTAATCACTGTGGGGATGCCTGCCTGATTATTCACCCACAGTCCATTGGTGTCTGATCACTGCGGGGACGCCTGCTTGGTCATTCACCCACATTCCCTTGGTGGCAAGTCAGTTGTGGAGACGCCTGCTTTGGCTGCTCACCACCCCCTTCTCCATGTCTCTACCTTTCTCTTTAAACTTACCTCCTTCACTATGAGCAAACTTCTGCCCTCCATTCCCCCATCTTCTCCTTTAGCCTGTGTTCTTAAAAACTTAAAATCTCTTCAACTCTCACCTGACCTAAAACCTAAGCATCTTATTTTCTTCTGCAACACCACTTGGCCCCAATACAAACTTTATAATGGTTCTAAATAGCCAGAAAATGGCATTTTTGATTTCTCCGTTTTACAAGACCTGGATGATTTTTGTCGAAAAATGGACAAATGGTCTGAGGTGCCTGACGTCCAGGCGTTCTTTTACACATCGGTCCCTCCCTAGTCTCTGTTCCCAATGCGACTCATCCCAAATCCTCCTTCTTTCCCTCTCGCCTGTCCCTTCAGTCCCAACCCCAAGCATTGCTGAGTCTTTTGAATCTTCCTTTTCTACAGACCCATCTGACCTCTCCTCCCCAGGCTGCTCCTCGCCAGGCCGAGCCAGGTCCCAATTCTTCCTCAGCCTCCGCTCCCCCACCCTATAATCCTTTTATCACCTCCCCTCCTCACACCCGGTCCGGCTTGCAGTTTCATTCCACAACTAGCCCTCCCCAACCTGCCCAACAATTTCCTCTTAAAAAGGTAGCTGGAGCTAAAGGCATAGTCAAGGTTAATGCTCCTATTTCTTTATCCAACCTTTCCCAAATCAGTTAGTGTTTAGGCTCTTTTTCATCAAATATAAAAACCCAGCCCAGTCCATGGCCCGTTTGGCAACAACCCTTAGACACTTTACCATCCTAGACCCAGAAGGGCCAGAAGGCTGTCTTATTCTCAATAAACATTTTATTACCCAACCCACTCCCGACATTAAAAAAAAGCTCCAGAAATTAGACTGTGGCCCTCAAACCCCACAACAGGACTTAATTAACGTCACCTTCAAGGTGTACAATAATAAAGTAGAGGCAGCCAAGTAGCAATGTATTTCTGAGTTGCAATTCCTTGCCTCCACCGTGAGACAAACCCCAGCCACATCTCCAGTACACAAGAACTTCCAAACGCCTGAACCGCAGAGGCCAGGCATTCCTCCAGGACTGCCTGTCATGCACGTCCATGTGAAGAGACCACCAAACAGGCTTTGTGTGATCAATAAGTCTGTTTATTTCACCTGGGTGCAGGCAGGCTGAGTCCGAAAAGAGAGTCAGCTAAGGGTGGTGGGATTATCATTAGTTCTTATAGGTTTGGGATAGGCATACAAAGTATATTCTTAAGGGAGGGGGAGAATATTACAAAGTACCTTCTTAAGGGCAGGGTAGACTATATCATATCAGTTAGGGTGGGGCAGGAACAAATCACAATGGTGTATCGTTATCAGTTAAGTCTATTTTTACCTCTTTTGTGGATCTTCAATTGCTTCAGGCCATCTGGATATGTACGTGCAGGCCACAGGGGATATGATGGCTTAGCTTGGGCTCAGAGGCTTGACACCACCTACCCCAGGATCTTGCTTCAAGTGCTGGAAATCTGGCCACTGGGCCAAGGAATGCCCGCAGCCCAGGATTCCTCCTAAGCTACGTCCCATCTGTGCGGGACCCCACTGGCAATTGGACTGTCCAACCCAGCAGCCACTCCCAGACCCCCTGGAACTCTGGCCCAAGGCTCTCTGACTGACTCCTTCCCAGATCTTCTCTGCTTAGTGGCTGAAGACTGACACTGCCCGATCACCTCGGAAGCCTACAGGACCATCACAGACGCTTTGGGTAACTCTTACAGTGGAAGGTAAGTCCGTCCCCTTCTTAATCAATACGGAGGCTACCCACTCCACATTACCTTCTTTTCAAGGGCATGTTTCCCTTGCCTCCATAACTGTTGTGGATATTGACGGCCAGGCTTCTAAACCTCTTAAAACTTCCCAACTCTGATGCCAACTTGGACAACATTCTTTTATGCACTCTTTTTTAGTTATCCCCACCTGACCAGCTCCCTTATTAGGTTGAGACATTTTAACTAAATTATCTGCTTCCCTGATTATTCCTAGGCTACAGCCACACCTCATTACTGCCCTTTTCCCCAGTTCAAAGACTCCTTCACATCCTCCCCTTGTATCTCCCCACCCTAATCCACGAGTATATGATACCTCTACTCCCTCCTTGGAGACCAATCATGCACCCCTTACCATCCCATTAAAACCTAATCACCCTTAGCCCGCCATGCTTTAAAAGGATTAAAGCCCGTTATCACTTGCCTGTTACAGCATGGCCTTTTAAAGCCTATAAACTCTCCTTACAATTCCCCCATTTTACCTGTCCAAAAACCAGACAAGTCTTACAGGTTAGTTCAGGATCTGTGCCTTATCAACCAAATTGTCTTGCCTATTCAACCCATGGTGCCAAAGCCATATACTCTTCTATCCTCAATACCTCCCTCCACAACCCCTCCATAACCCATTATTCTGTTCTGGATCTCAAACATGCTTTCTTTACTATTCCTTTGCACACTTCATCACAGTCTCTCTTCACTTTCACTTGGACTGACCCTGACACCCATTAGGCTCAGCAAACTACCTGGGCTGTACTGCCGCAAGGCTTCACAGACAGCTCCCATTACTTTAGTCAAGCCCAAATTTCTTCCTCATCCATTACCTATCTTGGCATAACTCTTTGTGAAAACACACATGCTCTCCCTGCTGATTGTGTCCAGCTAATCTCCCAAACCCCAATCCCTTCTACAAAACAACAACTCCTTTCCTTCCTATGCATTGTTAGGTACTTCCACTTTTGGATACCTAGTTTTACCATCCTGACTAAAACGTTACATAAACTCACAAAAGCAAACCTAGCTGACTCCATAGATCCTAAATTTTTTCACCACTCCTCTTTCTGTTCCTTAAAAACAGCCCTAGAAGCTGCTCCCACACTAGCTCTCCCTAACTCATCCCAACCCTTTTCATTACACACAGCCAAAGTACAGGGCTGTGTGGTCAAAATTCTTGCACAAGAGCTGGGACCGCACCCTGTAGCCTTTCTGTCCAAACAACTTGACCTCACTGTTTTAGGCTAGCCCCCACATTATTCCGGATACCACACCTGACCCACATCACTGTATCTCTCTGATCCAGCTGACATTCACTCCATTTCCCCATATTTCCTTCTTTCCTGTTCCTCACCCTGATCACACTTGGTTTATTGATGGCAGTTCCACCAGGCCTAATTGCCACTCACCAGCAAAGGCAGGCTATGCTATAGTATCTTCCACATCTATCATTGAGGCTACTGCTCTGACCCCCTGCACTACCTCTCAGCAAGCCGAACCAATTGCCTTAACTCAGGCCCTCACTCTTGCAAAGGGACTACGCATCAATATTTATACTGACTCTAAATATGCCTTCCATATCCTACACCACCATGCTGTTATATGGGCTGAAAGAGGTTTCCTTACTACTCAAGGGTCCTCTATCATGAATGCCTCTTTAATAAAAACTCTTTTCAAGGCCGCTTTACTTCCAAAGGAAGCTGGAGTCATTCACTGCAAGGGCCATCAAAAGGCATCAGATCCCATCGCTCAGGGCAACGCTTACGCTGACAAGGTAGCTAAAGAAGCAGCTTAGCCTTCCAACTTCTGTCCCTCACGGCCAATTTTTCTCCTTCTCATCTGGTCACTCTCACCTACTCCCCCACTGAAACTTCTACCTATCAATCTCTTCCCACACAAGACAAATGGTTCTTGGACCAAAGAAAATATCTTCTTCCAGCCTCACAGGCCCATTCTATTCTGTCGTCATTTCATAACCTCTTCCATGTAGGTTACAAGCTGCTAGCCCTCCTCTTAGAACCTCTCATTTCCTTTCCGTTGAGGAAATCTATCCTCAAGGAAATCACTTCTCAGTGTTCCATCTGCTATTCTACTACTCCTCAGGGATTGTTCAGGCCCCCTCCCTTCCCTACACATCAAGCTCGGGGATTTGCCCCTGCCCAGGACTGGCAAATTGACCTTACTCACATGCCCCAAGTCAGGAAACAAAAAAACCTCTTGGTCTGGGTAGACACTTTCACTGGATGGGTAGAGGCCTTTCCCACAGGGTCTGAGAAGGCCACCGCAATCATTTCTTCCCTTCTGTCAGACATAATTCCTCGGTTTGGCCTTCCCATCTCTATACAGTCCGATAACGGACCGGCCTTTACTAGTCAAATCACCGAAGCAGTTTCTCAGGCTCTTGGTATTCAGTGAAAACTTCATACCCATTATTGTCCTCAATCTTCAGGAAAGGTAGAATGGACTAATGGTCTTTTAAAAACACACCTCACCAAGCTCAGCCTCCAACTTAAAAAGGACTCTGTCAAGGATAGAGCCCCAAAACTCACCAACCAAGCAGGTAATTATGCTGAACCCCCTTGAGCACTCTCTAATTGGATGTCCTGGGTCCTCCCAATTCTTAGTTATTTAATACCTGTTTTTCTCCTTCTCTTAATTCAGACCTTGTGTCTTTCATTTAGTTTCTCAATTCATACAAAACTGCATCCAGGCCATCACCAATCATTCTATACGACAAATGCTCCTTTTAACAACCCCACAATATTGTCCCTTACCACAAAATCTTCTTTCAGCTTAATCTCTCCCACTCTAGGTTCCCACACACCACCCCCAATCCCACTTGAAGCAGCCCTGAAAAACATCGCCCATTATCTCTCCATACCACCCCCAAAAATTTTCGCTGCCGCAACACTTTACGACTATTTCGTTTTATTCTTCTTGTTAACGTAAGAAGACAGGAATGTCAGGCCTCTGAACCCAAGCCTGCATGTGTACATCCAGATGGCCTGAAGTAACTGAAGAATCACAAAAGAAGTGAAAAGGGCCGGTTCCTGCCTTAACTGACCCCTGACCTAGCAACTGATGTTATCTACAGATTATAGAAAGACATTGTGAAACTTCCCGGTCTGTTTCACTCTGACCACCGGTGCATGTCATGTACCCCCTGCTTACTCAATCGATCACGACTCTCTCACGCGGACCCCCTTAGAATTGTGAGCCCTTAAAAGGGACAGGAATTGCTCACTCGGGGAGCTCGGCTCTTGAGACAGGAGCCTTGCTGATGCTCCCAGCCGAATATACTCCTTCCTTCTTTAACTTGGTGTCTGAGGAGTTTTGCCTATGGCTCGTGCTGCTACCATCCTGCCTGCACCCAGGTGAAACAAACAGCCTTGTTGCTCACACAAAGCCTGTTTGGTGGTCTCTTCACACGGACGCACATGACAGTGGTGGCAGGCGCCTGTAATCCCAGCTACTCGGGAAGCTGAGGCAGGGAGAATTCCTTGAACCCGGGTGACAGAGGTTGCAGTGAGCTGAGATTTTGCACTCCAGCCTGGGCGACAAGAGCAAAACTCCGTCTCGAAAAAAAGAAAAAAGAAAAGTTCACAGTGATGATGCCCACCAAAATCAAATAGAAGGTCTCACACATCCAGGAAACTAGAGTAGGGGATGAGATGGGAAAAGGATCTACAGGAGCTTCAACTGTGACAAAATGTTAAGAGCTGAAAAAGTTGCTGATGAAGATACACTGTGATTTTTTCAGAGCATTTTTTTTGCATCTACTACTGTAAAAATCAAATGAAAACAAAATCTAGACCAAAACGACTGTCTCCTTTAAGAAAGGAGCGATAGGCTAGATCTGAGAGGATGACTGTGGAGAATATTCGGACTCTGACTCAACGACCTAAACTGCCTCATTGGCTCAGTTACCTCCCTGGTCCCTGTATACATTTGAGTTTGCGATCCAACATAATTAACCAGTCGATCTGATTCCAAGTCAACCATTTAACAACCTGAGCACAAAATTTAAGCAGGCAGTTTCTTCCCTTGTGGGAAGGGAATGACAACTTCAACTTTATGGATTGTTGTGAGCGTCCCAATAACTTGTGTAAAACTTTCCTAAAACGTTAAGTGTGCCAGACACATACTGGTTTATATGGGTATCAGCTAATTCCTGGATCCAGCCTTTATTTCCACGGATCTAGGGAATAATTTTACATGGGGAAATATACCCCTCGAACCAAGGAGTTCCCCCAGGGCCGAAGCCTGACTTGGCAGGAACACAAAACACCTGAGGAGGGGCGCGGCGGCCCTAGCCTGGTGCGCATGCGCCACTGTAAAGGCCGTTAGGTCTGTCCCTGGCGCCCGATTAGAATATTTAATTCCAGTTGGAGCGTTTTTCCTCACCTTACTGTATTTTATTTCGGTAAATACCCACACATTTTAATTTCTGAGAGGCACAAATTCCTCTCAGACTCATTCAAATTGACCGAGTAGTCTTATAAGGTGCCTTTTGTCTCATTGTAAATCCTCAGTAAAGTTTGCAGTTTAGGATGATAACGTGATTTTTGCGTAAAAATAACAACTCATTTCACCTGAAAAGGACCACGACAGGAGCAGGGACTCGAGTTTCTTTTTATTCGGGCACTTCAGTAGTTACCTCTTGCTTGGGGGTGGTGCCGCGTGTGGACCCGATGGACCCCGGCGACGCCGCCATTTTGGAGTCTTCCCTAAGGATCCTCTACCGGCTTTTCGAGTCAGTGCTGCCGCCGCTGCCCGCGGCTTTGCAGAGCAGGATGAATGTGATAGACCACGTGCGGGACATGGCGGCCGCGGGGCTGCACTCCAACGTGCGGCTCCTCAGCAGCTTGTTACTTACAATGAGTAATAACAACCCGTGAGTTGAGGCGGGTAGCTGCCTGGGGCTGAGGAGAAAGCGGCGGCGGTCTGGGAGCGGGGGCTCAGGGCACGTGGGAACAGGCGGGAAGGAGCGGCCGCCGGCGCCAGCGGAGGCTCCGGGGTCTGCGAGGGCGTCCTGGAGCGGAGCAGACTTCGGAGCGCAAGTTGGGTTCACTGGGTGCCGGCGTCAAGTCCCGCGGGGATGTGGCGAGCGGCGGCTTGGAGACATAGAAGGCAGAGGCTCTGAGGACGACCCAGGCGAGGGTTTCCTGAGGCACCTGTCGCGGGGCAGCGCGACTGTCACATCGCTAGGCTGAATCCTTCCCTCTCGGCTCCTTCCAGAAGAACGTTTTTTTCTCTCGCTGCAGCTCAGGGACCCAGCCTCCTGGTTTTTATGCGCTAGCCCCCGCATCTGAGATTGGTCCCCCCGTTAAGTGTATCAGGAGGGTCCACTTTCTGGCCTTGGGAAACCCCTGAAAACGGGGCCGGGCGCGGTGGCTCACGCCTCTAATACGAGCCCTTTGGGAGGCCGAGGCGGGAGGATCGCTTGAGCCCAGGAGTTCAAGACCAACCTGGGCAACATAGGGAGACCCTGCCTCTACGAAAAGTAAAAATTAAACAATTAGCCGGGCGTGATGGTGCGTGCCTGCGGTCCCAGCTACTCGGGAGGCTGAGGCAGGAGGATCGCTTGAACCCAGGAGGTCGAGGCTGCAGTGAGCCGTGATCGCATCATTGTCCTTTACCGTGGGCGACAGAACGACTGCCTGTCTCAAAAAAAGGAAACGGGAGACTCCATTAATGGGTGGGCGTGGCGCCTTTCATGTTTCCTTGAAGCACTGAGCTGATTCCATCCTTGAGTGCATGTCCCTCTCCTGCTTAATATCCTTTATTGGCCGGGCGTAGTGGCTCATGCCTGTAATCCCAGCACTTTGGGAGGCCGAGGCGGGCGGATCACGAGGTCAGGAGATCGAGATCATCCTGGCTAACACAGTGTAACCCCGTCTCTGCTTAAAAAATACCAAAAAAATTTAGCCAGGCGTGGTGGCGGGCGCCTGTAGTCCCAGCTACTCGGGAGGCTGAGGCAGAAGAATAACGTGAACCCGGGAGGCGGAGCTTGCAGTGAGCCGAAGTAGCACCACTGCACTCCAGCCTGGACGACAGAGCGAGACTCCGTCTCAAAAAAAAAAAAAAATCCTTTATTGCACTTATGAAAATTCTTTCCCATGGCCTCTGAAGGCAAATATCTGCCCTCCACTCTCTGCGACTTCATCTCATTACTCTGTTCACTGCTCTCTAGCCTCCCTGGCTATTCTGTTATTTGTTTTTATTTGTTTATTTATTTTTATTTTTTTGAGACAGCCTCGCTCTGTCGCCCATGCTGGAGTTGAGTGGCGCAGTCTTGGCTCACTGCAGCCTCCGCTTCCTGGGTTCAAGCGATCCTCCTGCCTCAGCCAACCAAGTAGCTGGGATTACAGGCGAGCGCCACACGCCCAGCTAATTTTTGTTATTTTAGTAGAAACAGAGTTTCACTATATTGACCAGTCTGGTCTTTTTTTTTTTTTTTTTTTTTTTTTGAGACGGAGTCTCGCTCTGCACGATCTTGGCTCACTGCAAGCTTCGCCTTCTGGGTTCACGCCATTATCCTGCCTCAGCCTCCCGAGTAGCTGGGACTACAGGCGCCCGCCACCGCACCCAGCTAATTTTTTTGTATTTTTAGTAGAGACAGGGTTTCACGATGGTCTCGATCTCCTGACCTCGTGATCCGCCCGCCTCGGCCTCCCAAAGTGCTGGGATTACAGGTGTGAGCCACCGCGCCCAGCCGACCAGTCTGGTCTTCAACTCCTGACCTCTGGTGATCCCGCCGCCTCGGCCTCCCAAAGTTTAAGGATTACAGGCGTGAACCATCGCTTCTGGCCTCTTTGTGTTATTTGAATGCACCAAGCGTGTTCTCTACTCTGGGCCCTTGTACTTGCTGTTCCTCCTGCGACGGTCCTCATCTCAGCGTTGCCTCCTCCTTCAGGTTTTAGCCTGGATATCTCTCCTAAAGAGCCTTCTCTGACTCCCAGGACTCTCGGGTACTCCCACTTTTCTACCCTTCGCATCACCCACCAATTGAAAGCGCAGTGGCTGTGCGCAATAAGCACTCACATGCTTATTGAGTGTGTTGAGGAAGTGAGTACAACCTCAGGGAGGTGAAATACCCTTGTCCAAGTTCACACATCCAATAAATGGAGGAGTACGATGCCTGGACCTGGTCTTCTCTGACTGGAGAGTCTCCATTCTGAGCCACCAGTCTGCTACCTCCAAATGGCGTTATAATGGAAACTTTTACTCTGTAGATGTATTAGTGTTTGGCCTGCTGTAGAAGCTGGTCTAGGTCAGAAGGGAAAAGTCCTTTAAGTGCTTACAATGCAGCTGCTGCTGCCCATTGGATTTTCATTAGTGCACTTTGGTGTTTTGTTTTGTTTTGCTTTTCAGACGGAGTCTTGCTTTGTTGCCCAGGCTGGAGTGCAGTGGTGCGATCTCGGCTGACTACAGCCTCCACCTCCCAGGCTCAATCGATCCTCCCACCTCAGCCTCCTGAGTAGCAGGGATTACAGATTCGCACCACCACGCCCAGCTAATTTTTTTTTTTTTTTTAATAGAGATGGGGTTTCATCATGTTGGCCAGGCTTGTCTGGAACTCCTGACCTCAAGTGATCCCCATGACTTAGGCCTCCCAAAGTGCTTGGATTGCAGGCGTGAGCCACCGAGCCCAGCCTCATTAATGTGCTTTGGACCTTACTAGTGAGACCCACATTTTGCCACCATCCACTTCATGTTGACAGGAGCCCTGGTCTCTGTCAGCCTTATGTGTTTATGCTGGAGCCTTTCACTTGGTTCTGAGTGATTTGCCAAAGCATACAGTTTCCACGTTTGGAGATTTAGGCCCTAGTTACTCTTAGTTCTTAAAGATGTTACAGGATAGTTTGAAACAGTTTAATTCTCTGGCTAGACGAAGTTTAGCCCATGCTTTTTCATATTGGGTTAGATTGGCAGTTTCCTAGCTTCAGGACATGTTTAAGTTCTGACCTTCATGATTTATACTTTAAAATTTCTTGTGGAATAGGAATAGACACTGTTAAATTCAAACAGTGGAGAAGGGGCATGCAGATCAGTATCTTTACCTGAGTCTTGAACCTCACCCCAACATTTCCTTTCTCCAGAGGCAATAACTATTTTTTCGTGTGTCATTACAGAGATAACTTAATGCATGTGTAAGTAGACATGTATCTTATATGCATATCTGAATGCTTTCTGTGGATGTAATAATACTTTTGTATCTAAGCATCAAATGGTTATTTCTCACTACATACATAGAATCACAGAGTTTGAAGAGAACTTAAGTCATCTAGACTATACTCTTTTTGTTGTTTTTTTTCTGTTTTTCTGGGGAGACTGAGTCTCACTCTGTCGCCAGGGCTGGAGTGCAGTGGCGTGATCTCGGCTCACTGCAACCTCCGCCTGCTGGGTTCAAGCAGTTCTCCCTCAGCCTTCCAAGTAGCTGGGATTACAGGCGCCCACCACCATGCCTGGCTAATTTTCGTATTTTTAGTAGAGACGAGGTTTCAACATGTTGGCCAGGCTGGTCGAACTCCTGACCTCAGGTGATCCTCCCTCCTTGGCCTCCCAAAGTGCTGTGATTACAGGCGTGAGCCACCGCGCCTGGCCCCTTTTTTTTTTTTTTTTTGTCTGAGACAGAGTCTCTCTCTCGTCACCCAGGCTGGAGTGCAGTGGTGGGATCTTGGCTCACTGCAACCTCCACCTCCCAGGTTCAAGCGATTCTCCTGCCTCAGCCTCTAAGTAGCTAGGATTATAGGCATAAGCCACCGCACATGGCCACAATAATGCAATTCTGTGGGTTTTAGTGTATTTACAAAATTGTATGATCATCACCATGATCTAACTCCAGAAGGTTTTCATTATCCCAACAAAAAGAAACCGTGTCTATTAGTAATCACTCTCCAATTGTCCCTTCCTCCCGCAAACACTAATGTATGATGCCTATTTTTTTTTTTTTTTAAGAGACAAGATCTCACTATGTTGATCAGACTCTAGGCTCAAGCAGTCTTCCCACCTCAACCTCCCAAAGTGTTGGGATTACAGGTGTGAGCCACTGTGCCTAGCTTGTTGAGAAATTAACTATCTACAGAATTATTCGACTCGGCTGGGCGCAGTGGCTCACGCCTGTAATCCCAGCACTTTGGGAGGCTGAGGCGGGTGGATCATGAGGTCAGGAGTTTGAGACCAGCGATGGCCAACATGGCGAAACCCCGTCTCTACCAAAAATACAAAAATTAGCTGGGCGAGGTGGCAGGTGCCTATAATCCTAGCTACTCGGGAGGCTGAGGCAGGAGAATTGCTTGAACCCGGGAGGCAGGGGTCGTAGTGAGCCGAGATTGTGCCACTGCATTCTAGCCTGGGCGACAGAGTAAGACTCCTTCTCAAAAAAAAAAAAAAAAGAATTATTCAGCTCACTCTGTTCTTTCATATAAGCAACTATAACTTTGTTTTTCTTGTTTTTGTTTTTGTTTTTGGAGATGGAGTTTGGCTCTTGTTGCCCAGGCTGGAGTGCAATGGCACACTATCTTGGCTCACCGCAACCTCTGCCTCCCAGATTCAAGTGATTCTCCTGCCTCAGCCTCCCGAATAGCTGGGATTACAGGCATGTGCCACCACGCCAGGCTAATTTTGTATTTTTAGTAGAGACAGGGTTTCTCCATGTTGGTCAGGTCCTGAACTTAGGTGATCCACCCACCTTGGCCTCACAAAGTGCTGGGATTACAACAGGCATGAGCCACCATGCCCCGGCCTGCTGTAGCTTTTACTTGTCAAAGAAAAACAGTAAACTTCTTCCTCTTATTTGGGAAGGAGTGGAATTGGAGGTTGAAAATATGAGTTCCTCATTAGGAATGGTGGTCAACTTCTAGGCAGTTATAATTCTTGACTGTAATACTCAAGGTTAAACAGTTTTAAAACATTGGTTCCTTTACACTGTCCTGAAATCCCTGAGACTCCAGGAGGTAAGAATTCTAGTGCTAGTGAAGTTTACTTTTTTTTTTTTCTGAGACAGGGTTTCATTCCCTGTTGCCCAGGCTGGTGTACAAATGGCATGATCTTGGCCCACTGCAACTTCTGTCTCCTGGGCTCAAGCGATTGTCCTGTCTTAGCCTCCTAAGTAGCTGGGATTACGGGCATGCACCACCATGCCTGGCTAATTTTTGTGTTTTCTTTTTTTTTGAGACAGAGTTTCACTTGTCACCCAGGCTGGAGTGCAGTGGCACGATCTTGGCTCACCCCAACCTCTGCCTCCTGGGTTCAAGTCATTCTCCTGCCTCAGCCTCCCAGGTAGCTGGGATTACAGGCACTCGCCACCGCACCTGGCTAATTTTTGTATTTTTACTAGAGACGGGGTTTCACCTTATTGGCCAGGCTAGTCTCAAACTCCCAACCTTCAGTGATCTGCCTGCCTCGGCCTCCCAAAGTGCTCGGATTACAGGTGCAAGCTACTGAGCTCAGCCTAAATAAACTTTTATCAAGGCCAATCCTCTTGCTATCCCATTGGCTTTCCCGATCTTTTTTTTTTTAAAAGACAGAGTTTCACTCTTGTCGCCCAGGCTGGAGTGTAGTGGCGCAATCTCGGCTCACAGCAACCTCTGCCTCCCGGGTTCAAGCGATTCTCCTGTCTCAACCTCCCGAGTAGGTGGGATTACAGGCATGCGCCACCACACCCGTCTAATTTTGTATTTTTAGTAGAGACGGTTTCACCATGTTGGTTAGGCTAGTCTTAAACTCCTGACCTCAGGTGATCCGCCTGCCTTGGTGTCCCAAAGTGCTGGGATTACAGGCATGAGCCACCACGCCCAGCCCCCCATTCTCCTTTTATAGTGGCATTTTCTTTAGTTTTTAGTGTTTTTTTTTTTTTTTGAGACGAGATCTCGCTCTGTCGCCAGGCTGGAGTGCGAGTGCAGTGGCGCGATCTCGGCTTACTATAACCTCCACCTCCTAGGTTAAAGCAATTCTCCTGCCTCAGCTTCCCGAGTAGCTGGGACTACAGGCGCCTGCCACCACTCCCAGCTAATTTTTGTATTTTTAGTAGAGCTGGGGTTCCACCGTGTTGGCCAGGATGATCTCGATCTTGTGATCTTGTGATCTGCCCGCCTCAGCCTCCCAAAGTGGTGGGGTTACAGGCGTGAGCCACCGCGCCTGGCCTTTCTTTAGTATTTGAAGAGCTTTCAGGTTTTTTCAAACTTCTTTTTGTGCATTGGTTTTTTTTTGTTGTTGTTGAGACGGAGTCTGGCTCTGTCGCCCAGGCTGGAGTGCAGTGGCATGATCTCGGCTCACTACAGGCCTCCTGGGTTCATGCCAGTCTCCTGCTTCAGCCTCCCAAGTAGCTGGGACTACAGGCGCCTGCCACCACGCCTGGCTAATTTTTTGTATTTTTTAGTAGAGATGGGGTTTCACCGCGTTAGCCAGGATGGTCTCGATCTCCTGACCTCGAGATCCGCCCCCCTCAGCCTCCCAAAGTGCTGGGATTACAGGCGTAAGCCACCGCACCCAGCCTGTGCAGCCTGTTTTTAAAAAGGATTCAAAGTGGTGAGGTTTCTCTGTACTTCATCTTAATATGAGAATATGGATAGATATATCTCAGACTGTTAAAAGGGCCTGGTGGCCAGGCATGATGGCTCACGCCTGTAATCCCAGCACTTTGGGAGGCCGACGCAGGTAGATCACTTGAGGTCGGGAGTTTGAGACCAGCCTGGCTAACATGGCGAAACCCCATGTCTACTAAAAAAAAAAACAAAAATTAGCTGGGTGTGGTGCCATGTGCCTGTAATCTCAGCTACTCGGGAGGCTGAGGAAGGAGAATCACTTGAACCCGGGAGGTGGAGGTTGCAGTGAGCCGAGATCGTGCCACTGCACTCCAGCCTGGGTGACAGAGTGAGAATCTATTTCAAAAAAAAAAAAGAAGCTGGGGGAGCTTGGATTGAAAGGGAGGAAAAGATGTATTACATTTTCTCTTGTTTTCTAGTGAGTTATTCTCCCCACCTCAGAAGTACCAGCTTTTGGTGTATCATGCAGATTCTCTCTTTCATGATAAGGAATATCGGAATGCTGTGAGTAAGTATACCATGGCTTTACAGCAGAAGAAAGCGCTAAGTAAAACTTCAAAAGTGAGACCTTCAACTGGAAATTCTGCATCTACTCCACAAAGTCAGGTAATTGGAGATAGAATTGTGATTTTTTTTTTTTTTTTTTGAGAAAGACTCCAAGAATTTAGAACAGGGTCCCCAGGCCCCAGTGCCTGGTCTGTTAGGAACCAGGCTGCACAGCAGGAGGTGGGTGGAGGGCTAGTGAATATTACTGCCTGAGCTCCGCCTCCTGTCAGATCAGCTGCGGCATTAGATTCTTATAGGAACACAAACCCTATTGTGAACTACACATGCTAGGATCTAGGTTGTGTGTTCCTTATTATAATCTGACTAATGCCTGAAGATCTGAGGTGGAACAGTTTCATCCTGAAACCACCCCCTCACCCCCCATCTGTGGAAAAATTGTCTTTCATGAAACTGGTCCCCTGGTGCCAAAAAGGTTGGGGACCGCTGATTTAGATGATAGCTGATTAGATGTAGAAGATGAGGCCAGAAGCTGGGCGCAGTGGCTCACGCCTGTAATCCCAGCACTTTGGGAGGCCTAGGCGGGCGGATCACGAGGTCAGGAGATTGAAACCATCCTGGCTAACACGGTGAAACGCCGTCTCTACTAAAAATACAAAAAATTAGCCAGGCATGGTGGTGGATGCCTGTAGTCCCAGCTACTTGGGAGGCTGAGGCAGGAGACACCAGC
The DNA here is from genome assembly GCF_000001405.40 of Homo sapiens. Lineage (NCBI taxonomy): Eukaryota > Metazoa > Chordata > Mammalia > Primates > Hominidae > Homo > Homo sapiens. The sequence continues at coordinate 110,395,637 of NC_000012.12, read as the reverse complement.
CTGGGTGACAGAACGAGACTCTGTCTCAAAAAAAAAAAAAGAAGATGAGGCCAGGCACAGTGGCTCACACCTGTAATCCAAGCACTTCCAGAGGCGGAGGTAGGAGGACTTGAGGTCAGGAGTTTGAGACTAGCCTTGGCAACATAGTGAGACCCCTGTCTTTACAAAACGGCATGGTGGCACATACCTGTAGTACTCAGAAGGCCAAGGTGGGAGGATCGCTTGAGACTAGGAGTCTAAGACTGCAGTAAATCATGTTTGCACCACTGCATTGCAGCCTGGGCAACAGAGCGAGACCCTGTCTCAAAAAAAAAAAAAAGAATTGCTGGGTCATATGATAACTCTATGTTTAACGTTTTGAAGAACTGTCATATTGTTGGAATAACGTTTCAAAGAAATATTTCCATTGTCTTTTAGTGTCTTCCATCTGAAATTGAAGTGAAATACAAAATGGCTGAATGTTATACAATGCTAAAACAAGATAAAGATGCCATTGCTATACTTGATGGGATCCCTTCAAGACAAAGAACTCCCAAAGTAAGTTGAATGTTTATGTGTTTTTCTCCTCAGCTCTCCTAACCCTGCTCCCTCTCTCCATGTTTTCTCATGCATTAAGGAGTCCGTGTGAACATTTTACCCATGATTCTAATTCTCATTTTCTTCCTCTTCATGGAGTGGGGGTGGGGGACCCTGAAAATCCAGCTGATGAAAATGATAGCTGGAGAATACTACACATGCTTATTCTTTGTTTTTTCTTTTTTATTTTTTATGTTTAACTTAATTTAATATTTTTTGAGACAGAGTCTCACTGTCACCCAGGCTACAGTACAGTGTTGTGATCCTGGCTCACTGCAGCTTCAACCTCCCAGGCTTAAGCAATCCTCCCACCTCAGCCTCCCAAATAGCTGGGATTACAGTTGCATGCTGCCACACCCAGCTAATTTTTTTTTTTTTTTTTTTTTTTTTTTGAGGTGGAATTTCACTCTTGTTGCCCAGGCTGGAGTGCAATAGCATGGGGGCTCACTGCAAAGTTGCCCAGGCTGGAGTGCAATAGCATGGGGGCTCACTGCAACCTCCATCTCCCAAGTACAAGTGATTCTCCTGCCTCAGCCTCCCGAGTAGCTGGGATTATAGGCGCCTGCCACCACGCCAGGCTAATTTTTTTGTATTTTTAGTAGAGATGGGGTTTTGCCATGTTGGCCAGGCTGGTCTTGAACTCCTGACCTCAGGTGATCCGCCCACCTCGGCCTCCCAAAGTGTTGGGATTACAGGCGGGAGCCACCGCACCTGGCCAATTTTTTTTATTTTTGGTAGAGATAAGGTTCCACTGTGTTGCCCAGGTTGGTCTCAAACTCCTGGGCTCAAACTGTCCTCCCACTTTGGCCTCCCAAAGTGCTGGGATTACAGGTGTGAGATGCCACTCCAAGCCTATTTTTTATTTTTGTTTTGTTTTTTTTGTTTTGAGACAGAGTCTTGCTCTGTTGCCCAGGCTGGAGTGCAGTGGTGCGATCTCGGCTCATTGCAACCACCACCTCCCGGGTTCAAGTGATTCTCCTGCCTCAGCCTCCTGGGTAGCTGGGATTACAGGCACCCGCCACCACGCCCAGCTAATTTTTTTTTTGTATTTTTAGTAGAGATGGTGTTTCACCATGTTGGCCAGGCTGGTCTCGAACTCCTGACTTTGTGATTCGCCTGCCACGGCCTCCCAAAGTGCTAGGATTACAGGCGTGAGCCACCATGTCCGGCTATTTTTTTTTTTTTTTTTTTTTTGAGAGGGAGTTTCGCTCTTGGTGCCCAGGCTGGAGTGCAATGGTGCAATCTCAGCTCACTGCAACCTCTGCCTCCCGGGTTCAAGCAGTTCTCCTGCCTCAGTCTCCCAAATAGCTGGGATTACAGGCATGCGCCACCATGCCCAACTAATTTTGTAATTTTAGTAGAGACTGGGTTTCTCCATGTTGGTCAGGCTGGTCTTGAACTCCCGACTTCAGGTGATCCACCCACCTCGGCCTCACAGAGTGCTGGGGTTACAGGTGGGAGCCACCATGCCCGGCCAATTTTTTTTTTCTTTTTTTTAAATAGAGATGGTCTCCACCATTTGCCCAGGTTGGTCCCAAACTTCTGGGCTCAAGTTGTCCTCCCCCCTTAGCCTCCCAAATTGCTGGGATTACAGGCAGGAGCCACTGCACCTGGCCTCCTTGTGTTTGTTTTTGTTTTTAAGTGAAAGTGAGTTTATTAATAAAATAAAGGAATAAAGAATGGCTACTCCATAGGCAGAGAAGACTTTGATATTTCTTATTATAGGAAATAATGATTTATTTGCAAAACACTTCCAGGTGGCAAAAATACTTTTTTAGAACTTCATTTTTTGCCTTCCATAGGTGTACACATTTGGTAATGGGGGTGGTTTTATTCCTTTGTTTTGAAAATTAATACTGTAAGATTCTTTTATCCTTATTTATGTGTAGAATATGTCTTTGTGTTTGATTTGGCAGCATATTATAGTGAAGAAAACACCTTTAACTAAAATCAAAAGATCTGGTGTCGGCTGGGCATGGTGGCTCATGCCTGTAATCCCAGCACTTTGGGAGGCCGAGGTGGGTGAATCATCTGAGGTTGGGAGTTCGAGACCAGCTTGACCAACATGGAGAAACCCCGTCTCTACTAAAAATATAAAATTAGCCGGGTGTGGTGGCGCATGCCTGTAATCTCAGCTACTCTGGAGGCTGAGGCAGGAGAATCGCTTGAACCCAGGAGGCAGAGGTTGCGGTGAGCCGACGTGGTGCCATTGCACTCCAGCCTGGGCAACAAGAGTGAAACTCCATCTCAAAAAAAACAAAAAAACAAACAAAAAAAGATCTGGTGTCTAGTTTGAGTTTAGGTGCATACAAGCTGTGTGCAGTGTGAACTTGGGCAAGTTACCAATTTGTGAGCTTTACTACTTTTTTATTTATAAAATGAGAAGAATAGTATTTTTTCTGTTACTTTTATAAATACCAAATAAATTCATGAATGTGAGAATATATCAGTATTTAATATTCTAATAATACTGTCATGTCTCCTGCCTTGCTCATTTTATTGAAAAACTGTTTTGTGCAACTTGTGCTTAACAATAAGGAATTTTATAGGTAAAATGACAGGTGCATCCTCCTGCCTTTAAAAGATACGAAATCTAAGCAGTAGGGGCCTGGTGTATTTTAGTTAGTGCTGCTTCATCCAAGTCTTGCTGAACTTTAAAAGTAACCAAACTTGATGAGAACATGTTTAAGCACCTCCTCATATTAAGGTATTATTTACTATTTTCTGAGTTTTTGAAGCTATTTCTTCAGTATGATGGTGGCTGCTATTAAAAACACTTGAAAGTTTATTATGAATTAACCTCTCTCATCATAAGCCTGGATGCTGTATACTAAATCCTGTTCTGGTAACCTATGAAAGTCTTCTCTTACTCCAAGAATAATCTTGTTGCACAGATGAAGAATGTCTGCTGCAATGCTCAAGGTATCTTCCTTTTGTAAGAAGCCTTTTTTTTTTTTTTTTTTTTTTTTGTGAGGTGGAGTCTTGCTGTGTTGCCAGGCTGGAGTGCAGTGGCACAATCTTGGCTCACTGCAACCTCCACCTCCCGGGTTCAAGCGATTCCCCTACCTCAGCCTCCCGAGTAGCTGGGACTACAGGCGTGTGCCACCACGCCCAGCTACTTTTTTGCATTTTAGTGGAGACGGGGTTTCACCATGTTGGCCAGGATGGTCTCGATCTGACCTTAGGTGATCCGCCTGCCTTGGCCTCCCAAAGTGCTGGGATTACAGGCATGAGCCACCACGCCCGGCCAAGAAGCCATTTTAATTATAAACTTTGAAGGATACTATTCCTTACTTTATTAGAAATATACCATAATCTCCTTCATAATGACCTGTGGATATTTGTAGGACTTTTTTTTGAAAATAGTAATGTTAAAGCATCTCAGCTTTATAGCATCCACTGCTTGATTTTCATTGCCATCATTCTTAGAGCACCTGTATGAGTCTGCATTTGTCAGCAGTACATATCCTTCATTCTGTAGTGCTCTTACAGCTAGGAGCAAAGATGTGTGCCTCAAACATAAACCTATAACATTTACAGTTTTTCTTTCTTGTCTGTTAGGGAGTTAACTGGCTTCTCAGTCTATGTAAAGGACAAGGAAGTGAGTCAAAATGTGTCTAAATGAATGTCTGTTAATATATGGTAAACATCGCCACATATTCCCTCACATTTTAAAGGAAAATTCCAGTGTTAGATTATTAAATCTTGGTAAATCTTCACCTTTTAAGAGTAAACATACCAACATAGAATTTCTTACTCAGTTTTTAGAAAATGATGACTGCTTGTGTTTATAACTGGTGGAATGTGGCTTTATGATGTTTTTAAGTGAGTATCTATTTTTAAAATAGTTGACTTTTTTTGTTTGTTTGTTTGAGATGGAGTCTCTCTCTGTTGCCCAGGCTGGAGTGCAATGGCATGATCTCAGCTCACTGCAACCTCCACCTCCTGGGTTCAAGCGATTCTCCTGTCTCAGCCTCCTGAGTAGCTGGTACTACAGGCGCGTACCGCTGCACCTGCCTAATTTTTTGTATTCTAGTAGAGACGGGGTTTCACCATGTTGGCCAGGCTGGTCTCGATCTCCTGACCTCGTGATCCACCCACCTCGGCCTCCCAAAGTGCTAGGATTAGAGGTGTGAACCACTGCGCCCGGCCAATAATTGACTTTTTCATTAGGTATTACTCAAAACTCATTCTTTTAAAGTGACAGTCAAGTAGCTTAAAGGAAATTTTGATATTTGTTGAGAAAGATAGTCCATCAGTCATAGTTTGTTAATATAACCAGCAGTCAAGAAAGGATCTTAAATTTAACTTTTTATTCTTTACAAGTATTGACATCAATCCTGGAGTTTTCCTTTTAAGTATTTTTCTTTGCATTTTCAAAATAGTAGCCTAATATGGAAAATCTGAGGCCAAGTAAAAAATAGTTTTATTTTTAGTATTTCATTATTCCATTGTTTGAATTAGTGTGAATCAATGCTATATTAGATTGTTTTATATAATGTAGGTCTATAATTGGAACAGATGTTCTTTATCTTTAGAGCCACTCTTTCTATAAATATCTGGCATACCAAGCCACAGTTAAATCGAAGAGATTGGGGGTTGACCTTTTTTCTTTTGTGCCCTCACATTGACTGCTTCCTTAGGTTAATGATCTAGCAAATACTGTTGTGTTTAAAATCTACTAATTTTGCCAGACACGGTGGCTCACGCCTGTAATCCCAGCACTTTGGGAGGCCGAGGTGGTTGGATCACCTGAGGTCAGGAGTTCAAGACCAGCCTGGCCAACATGGTGAAACACCATCTCTACTTAAAATACAAAAAAAAAATTAGCTGGGCGTGGTGGCGGGTGCCTGTAATCCCAGCTACTCAGGAGGCTGAGGCAGGAGAATCACTTGAACCCAGGAGGCAGAGGTTGCAGTGAGCTGAGATCGTGCCATCGCACTCTAGCCTGGGTGACAAGCGTGAAACTCCGTCTCAAAAAAAAAAATCTAATTTTAAATTGGAATATTGTGTTTATCTGTGTACTATTAGGAAGGTCTTTTATCACTTGCCTATAACTTCTACATTCTTAGGAACTTTTAGATTTTCTGGCTTTTTTTTTGTTTTTGTGGGTTTTTTTTGTTGTTTTTTGAGACGGAGTCTCGCTCTGTCTCCCAGTCTGGAGTGCAGTGGCACGATCTCGGCTCACTGCAAGCTCTGCCTTCCGGGTTCACGTCATTCTCCTTCCTCAGCCTCCTGAGTAGCTGGGACTACAGGCGCCCGCCACCACGCCCAGCTAATTTTTTGTATTTTTTAGTAGAGACGGGGTTTCACTGTGTTAGCCGGGATGGTCTCAATCTCCTGACCTCGTAATCCACCCACCTCGGCCTCCCAAAGTGCTGGGATTACAGGCATGAGCCACTGCGCCCGGCCAGAACTTTTAGATTTTCTCATTTCCCAGTTGCATGTTAGGTAGGATTATTTTAATTTAGCTTTACAAAGTTACATATTTAAATTACGCTAAAATGCAGCTGTCTGCACTCACTGGATTTAAATAGTGTAGCTGATTTTTGTAGCATTACTTTAGTGAGTTAGTACCTACGGGCCAAAGCCTTAAGTGTTAGAAAGGCTAGAGTCTAGCCACAAGTCGAATTGTCAAAGAAAAGCCAAGTATTATACTTCTTTATCTGTCTTTCTGTATCATTTCCTTATTAGGAAAAACTGAGCTGATCCTTCTTAACTAGCTATGTCAAGAGTTTCTCACTTTCTTATGTGAGATAGTTCATCTTCTGTTTTAAGATCAAGAAAGAATCAAGTTAACTAGCGTTCTCTACCATTTCTTAAATGAATGTTATTCCAGTTTCCAGAGGGCAGCGTCTTTTGTTCAGATATTACTGGGCCTTGTGGGAAGGTAATGTGACTTTCCTCTTAGGGAAGGCAGGAGCTAGGGAAAGGAAGGGTAGTAATTTCTTTTCTTTTCTTTTTTTTTTTTTTTTTTTTTAAGATGGAGTCTCACTCTGTAGCCCAGGCTGGAGTGCAGTGGCGTGATGTCGGTTCACTGCAAGCTCCGCCTCCCGGTTTCACACCATTCTCCTGCCTCAGCCTCCCGAGTAGCTGGGACTACAGGCTCCCGCCACCACGCCCAGCTAATTTTTTTGTATTTTTTAGTAGAGACGGGGTTTCACTGTGTTAGCCGGGATGGTCTCAATCTCCTGACCTCGTGATCCACCCACCTCGGCCTCCCAAAGTGCTGGGATTACAGGCGTGAGCCACTGCACCTGGCCAATTTCTTCTTTCTTTTGAAGAATGGGGTCAGTCTGCCTTTATTTGCACAGGGTTGTGGGTAGATTTTCCAGTAAAAAGTAAATAACTGGTAATGAAAATTAGGACTTTTTCATGGTGAGAGATTTTCTTTGCAATATACGCTTATTTTGCTATCTGTTATTTGTGTTTGTACAGATAAACATGATGCTGGCAAACCTGTACAAGAAGGCTGGTCAGGAGCGCCCTTCAGTCACCAGCTATAAGGAGGTGCTGAGGCAGTGCCCATTAGCCCTTGATGCCATTCTAGGTAGAGATATTTCCTGCCTGTTTTCATGGCATGTTTACTGTCAAAGATAGTAGTTCTCAATCTTGCCTGTACATTAGAATAACTTTATTTTTTTTAAAAGTTCCCCTGAAGAGAGTGATTTAGTAGGATTCCTGTTGTCACATATTCAATCAAGAAATACTTAATTATGGTTTTTGGCCGGGCATGGTGGCTTACACCTGTAATTCTAGCACCTTGGGAGGCTGAGGTGGGTGGATTGCCTGAGCTCAGCAGGTCGAGACCAGCCTGGGCAACATGGCACAACCCCGTCTCTACTAAAAATACAAAAATTAGCCAGGCATGGTGGCGCGTGCCTGTAGTCCCAGCTTCTCGGAAGGCTGGGGCATGAGTATCGCTTGAACCCAGGAGGCAGAGGTTGCAGTGAGCTGAGATTGTGCCACTGCATTCCAGCCCAGGGGGACAGAACAAGACACTGTCTCAAAAAGAAAAGAAATACTAAATTATGGTTTTTCTCTCATGCATCGCTCAGAATAGGGAAGCAGTTGCCTTTTAGCCAAGGGAAGATGTAGCCCGTTGCTCCTTGCATGTGGAAGAGAGATATCGTGCCTTACTTTCTTTCTTCTGCTTTCTGTTGGTTTAGGCTTGTTGTCCCTTTCTGTAAAAGGGGCAGAGGTGGCATCCATGACAATGAATGTGATCCAAACCGTGCCTAACTTGGACTGGCTCTCTGTGTGGATCAAAGCGTATGCTTTTGTGCACACTGGTGACAACTCAAGAGCAATCAGTACCATCTGGTGAGAGCCACAAAGTTAATTCAGTGTTCTTGAGGCCCTTTGCTTGTCTGGAAGTCTGATGTATCTGAAGTAGCAAAAAGAAAAATGAGATGCTTTGCTGTTGGTGCTGCAGCCAGTCTCTGGGATGTGTTAGTCTTTTATACTGAATGGTCCCAAATGTAATCATGTAATCATCTCTGTTGGAGACCTGTAAAAATAGAAATCTGACTGAGTTTAGCTCTGTGCCTGCACAGGTAGTAACCCTTGCAAAGCAAAGCAGGCTACCTTGGTGTGTCATTTTTTTTTTTTTTTTTGAGACAAGGTCGGTCTCTCTCTCTCTCTCTCTCTCTCTCTCTCTCTCTCTCTCTCTCTCTCTGTCTCTCTCTCTCTCTGTCTCTCTCTCTCTGTCTCTCTCTCTCTCTGCCTCTCTCTCTCTCTCTGTCTCTCTGTCTCTCTCTCTCTCTCTCTCTCTGTCTCTCTCTCTCTCTCTCTCTCTCTCTCTCTGTCTCTCTGTCTCTCTGTCTCTCTCTCTCTCTCTCTCTCTCCCAGGCTAGAGTGCAGTGGCGCAGTCACAGCTCAGTGTAGCCTTGACCTGTCAATCTCCCGGGCTCAAACCATCCTCCTGCTCAGCCTCCTGAGTATCTGGGACTACAGGCGCATGCCACCACACCCAGCTAATTTTTGTATGTTTTTGTAGAGATGGGATTTCACCATGTTGCCCAAGCTGGTCTTGAATTCCTGGGCTCAAGTGATTCTCCCACGTGGGCCTCCCAAAGTGCTGGGATTATAGACGTGAGCCACCATGCCTGGCCTTGGTGTATCATTCTTCAGCCTGGAAGAAAATCATTTTGCACTCACCAGAAGCTTGGTTTATTGCAGTGTCTAACCTAGCTTGCCTGCTTAGGACTAGGGATTTTCTTTATATTCAGATAAAGTTCAAGGACAAGAAGAGACTTGGGCTTGTGTTATGCAAAGTCGTTTACTTGAGTAATAAATAGGTGTCACTTGTGAATGACATTACCTTTAACACCATGTAGCGTATGTTGTGTTCTGAAGAACTGCAACCACAGAGTTATTTGTTGGTACTGAGAGACTTCTGCTTTATTCTTTGTTTTTGCTATCCTGTCCTATATAACTTTTTTTAAAGTCATAAGCTTAAAGTTTTTTATTACGAAGAATTTTATATTTATGCAAAAGAAAATAGTATCTGTATGACCAATCATCCAGATTCAGCAACTAAGAGGATTTATAATAGATTTAAAGGTTCAATGTTTAATAAATATCTTAAAGTTCACTAGAGAAAAAATCCTTATTGCGAGATAACGTGGACCTATTGGGAAGCTTGGCAGATCTGTACTTCAGAGCTGGAGACAATAAAAACTCTGTCCTCAAGTTTGAACAGGCACAGATGTTGGATCCTTATCTGATAAAAGGTAAGTAATTCTTGGGGCAGGAAGACAGTGGCTGTTGTTGGGGGGGATCAGAGATAATAGGGAGAATATGCAGCATTAATACTCGATACCAAGTTTCATAGAAATGGTGTATAAAACTTATACTAGTCTTTTACTTTTTTTAGGTCATGACACATGTCTCTAACGCTTAGGTAATACCATTTGAGCAGCTGTTTTTGCTTGAATTCAAGTGTCTTCTCCCCACAGATCATTATTTGGCTTTTTTTCTTTTGAGGGGGTCATAGCTCCTCCTTATGACTTATAAATTTATGGTGTGCCTGACTGAGAATTTGGATGGCATCCCTAAAACCATAATATCCTTTTAGGGAATTTTGTTTTGCCATGTCCTTAGTATAATTAAAAAGGAATAAGAAAGGGATAAGGTGATTAAAGGCAGTAATTAGGCGTGAACAACAGAAAAATCACTGATCTTGAAAAAGATTGCAGGTGAAGGGTAATCTTCACAGGGACCTCCAACAGATGGCAGTTAGGACACTGGCAGTGAGTTCTCAGGAATAGTGGGAAATAAGGTCAGATAGATATGCTGTCTATTTGTAAAGGTCCAAAAAAGGCCATCAGAAAAACAGGGCCTTGTGACAATAAACAGTCTTATGAGCTCTTAAGCCAGGGGAATGATGGAGCTGGGAAGGGGCCATCCCAAGCGTTTAGATGAGGAAGCAGATCTAGAAGGATGGATTTGTTTGCACAAGATCTCCCCTCACCTCAAGTGCTTATTCCTCTTCTCCAAGCTGCCTGCACCCATGATGAAAATGATGTTTTAGAAATACTAGTCTGGCAACAGCTGGCAGCTTGGAATGGCAATGGCAGCTTGGAATCTCAGACCCAGGCCCAGGGGCTAGCAGGAGCATTGCAGTAATCTTGGCTTGAGAGGAATTTTCATGGGAATCTGAAGGGATAGCAAGGGATGGAAGAGAATGGTGGCAAGAGATGGGTAACAGTGAGCATAGGTCCCTTTTTATAGAATGTGGGTGAGAATAAAGCGGGGGCTGCGGAGAGGCAGTGATTTTTTATTTGTTTGTTTGAGACGGAGTTTCACTCTTGTCGCCCAGGCAGGAGTGCAGTGGCACAATCTCTGCTCACTGCAACCTCCGCCTCCTGGTTAAAGTGACTCTCCCACCTCAGCCTCCCGAGTAGCTGGGATTATAGGCGCCCGCCACCACACCCAACTAATTTTTGTATTTTTTTAGAAGAGACGGGGGTTTCACCATGTTAGCCAGGCTGGTCTGCAACTCCTGACCTTAGGTAATCCACCCGCCTCAGTCTCCCTAAGTGTTGGGATTACAGGCCTGAGCCACTGCACCCAGCCCGAGGCAGTGATCTTTAATGAACTGCATTCTGGATAGAACTACAAGCTTTTTTCTGGAATAGGCCAACTTTTTCTGAGACTGATTGGCTTTTCAGCAGTGTATTTCTGATGGTCTAGAACTCTGGGAAGAGAGACCTTAGTTGATGCCTTTTTTGGGCCTTTTCTGGTTGGGTTAGGGTAGCTGTGTATCACACCACAGGATAGAAGGACAAGCACTTCCTGAAAATAGCAGGCTTTCAAATTGTGAGGTAGGTTGTTCTGCTCCTTTGGTTTTTTGTTTTTTTTGTTTTTTTTTGTTTTTTTTTTGTGAGACAGAGTCTCACAGGCTGGAGTGCAGTGGTGCAATCTCGGCTCACTGCAACCTCCACCTCCTGGTTTAAGCAATTTTCTGCCTCAGCCTCTTGAGTAGCTGGGATTACAGGTGTGTGCCACCACGCCTGGCTAGTTTTTGTATTTTTAGTAGAGATGGGGTTTCACTATCTTGGCCAGGCTGGTCTTGAATTTCCACCTCGGCCTCCCAAAGTGCTGGGATTATAGGCATGAGTCACCGTGCCCGGCCTCCTTTGGTTTTGGTTTTGGTTTTGTTGTTAGAGACAGGGTCTCACTCTGTCACTCAGGCGGGAGTGGCACAAACATAGCTCACTGCAGCCTTGACCTCCTGGGCTCAAGCAATCCTCCTGCCTTAGCCCCCTGAGTAGCTGGGACCACAGGCATGTGCCACTGTGCTTGGCTAATTTTTTTTTCTTTCTATTTTATTTTACTTTATTTTATTTTATGTTTTAGACATAGTCTTACTCTGTTGCCCAGGCTGGAGTGCAGTGGTGCAATCTCGGCTCACTGCAACATCCGCCCTCTGAGTTCAAGCAATTCTCCTGCCTCAGCCTCCCGAGTAGCTGGTATTACAGGCGCCTGCCACTGTGCCTGGCTAATTTTTTGTATTTTTAGTAGAGACGGGGTTTCACCATCTTGGCCAGGCTGGTCTTGAACTCCTGACCTCGTGATCCACCTGCCTCAGCCTCCCAAAGTGCTGGGATTACAGGCATGAGCCACCGCGCCTGGCCCTTCTTTTTTCTTTTTTTTTTCTTTTTTTTTTTTTTTTTTTTTTTGAGACGGAGTCTCGCTCTGTAGCCAAGGCTAGAGTGCAGTGGCACGATCTTGGCTCACTGCAACCTCCGCCTCCCTGATTCAAGCGATTCTCCTGCCTCAGCCTCCTGAGTAGCTGGGATTACAGGCACACGCCACCATGCCCAGCTAATTTTTGTATTTTTAGTAGAGATGGGGTTTCACCTGTTAGCCTAGTCTCGAACTCCTGACCTCGTGATCTGCCCTCCTTGGCCTCCCAAAGTGCTGGGTTTACAGGCATGAACCACTGCACCTGGCCACTTGGCTGATATTTTAAAATTTCTTTAGAGACAGGGTCTCACCATATTGCCCAGGCTGGTCTTGAACTCCTGGGCCCAGGTGATCCTCCTGCCTCTGCCACCCAGAGTGCCAGGATTACAGGTGTGAGCCACCACGCCCAGCTGGGTTTTGCATTTTCTTTTTTTGAGACAGAGTCTCAGTCTGTCACCCAGGCAGTGCAGTGGCGTGATCTCGGCTCACTGCAACCTCTGTCTCCCTGGTTCAAGTGATCCTCCTGCCTCAGCCTCCCAAGTAGCTGGGATTACAGGCGCGTGCCACTATGCCCGGCTAATTTTTTGTATTTTCAGTAGAGATGAGGTTTCACCGTGTTAGCCAGGATGGTCTCGATCTCCTGACCTCGTGATCCACCTGCCTCGGCTTCTTAAAGTGCTGGAATTACAGGTGTGAGCCACTGTGCCCAACCTGGGTTTTGCATTTTAATAGTCACTTTGTAGGAAACTGGAAATAGTAGTTGGAGGAGCCTGTGATGGTGGAAAGGGCTTAGCCCCTGCAGGAGCTGGGGCCTCAGCATGGGGTCTGATGTTGGGTGCTACTCCTGTATGTGGGACCCCTGCTTCTCTTCTTAAAACACCTCTTCTCACTATGTCCTTCTCTTCTAGGAATGGATGTATATGGCTACCTACTGGCACGAGAAGGGCGGCTAGAGGATGTTGAGAACCTTGGATGCCGCCTTTTCAATATCTCTGATCAGCATGCAGAACCGTGGGTGGTTTCTGGGTATGATTATGCATTCTCTTTTCTCCCCAGTTGTCAGTAGATTAAGAGATAATGGTTGCTCTTGAAGAGAATATAAATTGAAAGCACAGGTTTAAGAGGTAATCACCTGGACAGGCATGGTGGCTCATGCCTGTAATCTCAACACTTTGGGAGACTGAGACAGGTGGATTGCTTGAACCCAGGAGGCAGAGGTTGCAGTGAGCCAAGATCGTGCCACTGCACTCCAGGTGGGCGGCAGAGTGAGATTTTGTCTCAAAAATAAATAAATAAAAATAAAAAGAGGTAATTACTTGAGGCCAGAAATTTGAGACCAGCATGGGCAATGTAGCAAGACCCTGTCTCTATAAATATATATATATATATATATATATATATATATATTTTTTTTTTTTTTTTTTTTTAAAAGGATAATCAGCCCTGGATTCAAATAATAGTTTATGACTCTGGATGCATTATTTACCTATCTAGGTCTGTATTCTCATTTGGAAAATGGGCTAATAACCTCTCCTTCTAGGGTTAAGCATTAACTGAGTTGGTGAATGCATTGTGCTTAGTACTGAGCCATCAGTGATGGGGCCAGAAGATGCTCCTTTGTTTATTAACCTGGCTTTACAAATTCTCTGAATGCCTCTCTGCTAATAACTAATATCCAGATCATAGGTTCTTTTTCATAATTTTTCTCTTCCATATCAAGATTTCCCCTTAAAAATAAATAGTGGATTTTTTGGTTTGTTTTGCTTTTCTACTAATATCTTAGGTTAAAACTATAAGTGTGGTTTGGAATAAGGATTATGTTCAGGGCCTTCAATATGATTTTTGGATCAACTTTCTTTGTAGTCTTCTCTTGGATAACTTCTGGGGTTTTTGTGTTTTTTTTTTTTTTTTTTTCTCCAGCTGTCACAGCTTCTATAGCAAACGCTACTCCCGGGCCCTCTATTTAGGAGCCAAGGCCATTCAGCTGAACAGTAATAGTGTTCAAGCTCTGCTACTTAAGGGAGCAGCACTTAGGAACATGGGCAGAGTCCAAGAAGCAATAATCCACTTTCGGGAGGCCATACGGCTCGCACCTTGTCGCTTAGATTGTTATGAAGGTAAGAAAGAAAACATAGGTGAATGGTGTGAATCCGTGGGTGTGGCAGCAGCCCTCAGATGGAAGGTTTCATTAGGCCAGCACTTCCCAAACTCTGTTAGAATAATCTGGGGAAGCTGGCCGGACGTGGTGGCTCACACCTGTAATCTCAGCACTTTGGGAGGCCGAGACGGGCAGATCATGAGGTCAAGAGATTGAGACCATCCTGGCCAACGTGGTGAAACCCCGTCTCTACTAAAAATACAAAAATTAGCTGGGCATGGTGGCTCACACCTGTAGTCCCAGCTACTTGGGAGGCTGAAGCAGGATAATCACTTGAACCTGGGAGGCGGAGGTTGCAGTGAGCCAAGATTGCGCCACTGCACTCCAGCCTGGCGACAGAGCAAGACTCCATCTATTAAAACAACAACAACAACAACAAAAAAACATCATCCGGGGAAGCTTTTCAATATCCTGACGTTGGGTCTCTCCAGTGTAGATGGAAATACATGGAATTGGGAATAGACATCGATATTTTTGGAGGTCCCCAGGGGTTACCAATGTGCAGACAGGTTTGGGAACCACTGCATTAGGCATTTTACATTTATTTAGGGCTTTCACTGGATTTGTCACCCCATACTTTCATAATCCATTTTTTCTGATTTTTTTTCTGGTTTTTGGTGAGGGTATAGTTGGGATGGGGTTTTTTTTTTTTGTCCTCCCACCGCTCGCCCCCATCCAGTGTGGCGTACTCATTAATATGAATCTCTCTGTGTCAGACACCATGCAAGATCACTTAGTTTGCCTATTTTTTTTCTCTTACTCCTCTTTTTTTTGAGACAGAGTCTCGCTTTGTTGCCCAGGCTGGAGTGCAGTGGCATGATCTCGGCTCACTGCAGGCTCCACCTCCCGGGTTAATGCCATTCTCCTGCCTCAGCCTCCCCAGTAGCTAGGATTACACCTGGCTAATTTTTTGTATTTTTAGTAGAGACAGTGTTTCACCGTGCTAGCCAGGATGGTCTCAATCTTCTGACCTCGTGATCCGCCCGCCTCGGCCTCCCAAAGTGCTAGGATTACAGGCGTGAGCCACCGTGCCCGGGTCCTGTTTTTTTTTTTTTTTTTTGAGACAGAGTCTCGCCCTGTCACCCAGGCTGGAGTGCAGTGGCATGATCTTGGCTCATTGCAACCTCCACCTTCCGGGTTCAAACCATTCTCCTGCCTCAGCCTCCCAAGTAGCTGGGATTATAGGCGCCCACCACCACACCCAGCTAATTTTTGTATTTTTTAGTGAGATGGAGTTTCACCATGTTGGCCAGGCTGGTCTCGAACTCCTGACCTCGTGAGCTGCCTGCCTTGGCCTCCCAAAGTTCTGGGATTACAGGCATGAGCCACCACAACCGGCCTATTTTTTTTATTTTTATTTGAGATAGAGTCTCACTCTGTCACCCAGGCTGGAGTGCAGTGGTGCAATCTCAGCTCACTGCAACCTCCACTTGCCGGGTTTAAGTGATTCTCCTGCTTCAGCCTCCTGAGTAGCTGGGATTACAGGCATACACCACCACACCCAGCTCATTTTTGTATTTTTAGTAGAGATGGGGTTTCGCCATGTTAGCCAGGCTGGTCCCGAACTCCTGGGCTTAAGTGATCTGCCCAATTCAGCCTCCTAAAGTGCTGGGATTACAGACGTGAACCACTGTACATGGCCTGTTAGGCCTATTCTTTTTCGTGGCCATCTTACCTTGGGCCAGAGTTAGTACTCGTGGGATAACTCCACATCCATATGATAGTGTTGGCTGTGGGAATGGGTCTGTTCATTGTGACCTCCAGAGTGGGCACAATCAGGGTCCAACTTTGTTTTGTTATGTAATATTTTAAGTTCATGTGAATTGACCCTGGGAGTTCAAAGGAGCTGTGCCAGTTTCAGCAACGTTTGGTGACTCAGTCACAGACATTAAAATAGATCTTACAAGATGCAGTTCCTCCAAAACATATTTTTATAAGCATTTAAAAATAAACCTAGGAGTCTAGGAGTGATTTGCTCTTAACAGGAAGATGAGTTCAAATTTGAGAAATAAAATTTGGATGTTGGGAAAGAGAACAAATCTGCTTATATAGCCAGAGAGCTATGCCTCTGGATTTGTTGAGGGGGAAAGAGTATTGTCTTTGTTCTGAAAGAAGCTCTAGCAAACCAACCATTGATTTCAGATTAACTTCTTGATCCTGAAACTGTAACTTCCCTGTCTTCCCAGCTGCTGTTAATCATGTTAATTCCATTATACTGCATGCCTATTTCACCAGAGCTCAGGGATGCGGTTGAATAGTCCGTCCTATAATATTTGGACAGCGGATGTTTCCCAGTTGGCCAGTGAGGCTTCTTAAGCTGCCATTTGGAGATTTAGGTCAGGGCAACTCTGACTACACCCTTTGATATTTCTTACAGTTTCCAGTTGGAGCTTCCTTCTTTTGCTGGTAGAGATTTAGGTTAGGCAAGTGCATTCTGTTTTTTTCTGAAGTTCCAGTAGGGCTTTAGCAGGGAAGTAAAACTATTCAGTAAGTAATTGCAAACAACTGTATGTGGAATCCAACATGTTGCCCTTAAGAGTTAGGTAATTGGCTGGGTATGGTGGCTCATGCCTGTAGTCCTAGCACTTTGGGAGGCTGAGGCGGGTGGAACACCTGACGTCAGGAGTTCGAGACCAGCCTAGCCAACATGGTGAACTACCATCTCTACTAAAAATAGAAACAAATTTAGCCAGGCATGGTGGTGCACGCCTGTAGTCCCAGCTACTTGGGAGGCTGAGGCAGGAGAATTGCTTGAACCCAGGAGACATGGGTTGCAGTGAGCCGAGATGTCACCACTGCCCTCCAGCCTGGGTGACAGAGCAAGACTCCATTTCAAAAAAAAAAAAAAAAATAGTTAGAGTTAGGTAATTTCTGGTTAAGTAACCATAGTGTGTGGAAGGGTGTGCATGAATGTTATAAATGCTGCTAGGGTGGAGGAGTATGCAGAGAAAATCTGCCAAGGATTGTGTGGGTTTGGGGTTTTAAGCTGTTTTTTTGTTTTGATGAGCACTTTGTGCCAAAAAGTTATTCCTCTGTTCTCCTCAACTTACTGGCATGAAGAGTTGAGAGTTGACTCTTCTCAAGGTGGCCTCCTCATAGGGCGTCTCGCTGTGGGTGTGGAAAGAGGCAAGGGCTGCCAGTTGCAGTCTGTTTGGTGCATGTGGTAAGTACTGTTCATCTCGTTTAGGGAAGCCCTCAGCAAGTGCCTTTTGAGACAGCTGTTACGTTTCAAATAAAAGAGTCTTTCTCCCTAAGTTGCTTGACAATAAGTCCTTTATTTGTCAAACTGTAAATTCACTTTAAGACTCTAGGAGCCAGGCCAGGCACGGTGGCTTACGCCTGTAATCCTAATACTTTGGGAGGCTGAGCTGGGCGGATCACCTGAGGTCAGGAGTTCGAGAGCAGCCTGACCAACATGGAGAAACCCCGTCTCTACTAAAAATACAAAACTAGCCGGGTGTGGTGGTGCATGCTTGTAATCCCAGCTACTCGGGAGGCTGAGGGAGGAGAATCGCTTGAACCCGGGAGGCGGAGATTGCAGTGAGCCGAGATGGCGCCATTGCGCTCCAGCCTGGGCAACGAGAGTGAAACTCTGTCGCAAAAAAAATAAATAATAAAATAAAGACCCTAGGAGTCTTCCATCTTAAACCTAGCCCTACAGGTGACCGAATGCAGCTGGAGAATAACTGCTTGTTAAGAGGCAGCAAAACCTTGGGTTTTGTTGGGAACATCATCTCTCACTACTTTGATCTCTTGGCCATATGACAGACTAATCATTAGTGTCGCATTTATTCTTCCAGTGGTCAGATGGGGTGCTCACATGCTGCAGGTTCCTTACATGTGCTTGTTTCCTTCCCTAAACTGAAGGTGCCTTTGAAGGCAGTCTTTTTCTACATCCATCAAGTTCTCTGGGGAAGAGCACTTCTTAGCTATTCCATCAACACTCTTGCCAGTCTAATCTCACCATCAGTTTCCCGTGGCCTGCCCTTTGTCTGAAACTTTGAAGGTTAGCAATTTGGAGAGCTGTCAGAGTGGAAGCATGGGTTGGAATGGTAATGGCATTGAATGTCTTCACGTGTTTTACTTTTTTCAGGTCTTATCGAATGTTACTTAGCCTCCAACAGTATTCGAGAAGCAATGGTAATGGCTAACAACGTTTACAAAACTCTGGGAGCAAATGCACAGACCCTTACCCTTTTAGCCACCGTTTGTCTTGAAGACCCAGTGACACAGGAGAAAGCCAAAACATTATTAGATAAAGCCCTGACCCAAAGGCCAGATTACATTAAGGCTGTGGTGAAAAAAGCAGAACTACTTAGTAAGTGTGTCTTATTTTCTGTCCTGTTCATCATTAATTTTTATAAAACCTGACCTCAGTTGGAGCCCCTTGTCCCAGCTAGTTACAGATGACTAGACAGGTGTGTGCCTTTTGCAGCAGGTCTGAGCCTGCTTGGATTGGTTTATATTTAGCCCAACCAAACGTAGCTGGCTTAGATCTGCTTGGCTTGGTTCCAACCACCTATAATTGGTTGGTATCTATTCGGCTCACTAATTTTTTTTTTTTTTTTTTTTTTGAGACGGCATCTTGCTCTGTCACCCAGGCTGGAGTGCAGTGGTGCGATCTCAGCTCACTGCAACCTCCGCCTCCCGGGTTCAAGCAATTCTTCTGCCTCAGCCTCCTGAGTAGCTGGGACTACAGGCGTGCACCACCATGCCCAGCTAATTTTTTTATTTTTTATTATTTTTTTTTATAGTAGAGATGGGGTTTCACCATATTGGCCAGGCCGGTTTCGAAATCCTGACCTTGTGATCCACCCGCCTCGGCCTCCCAAAGTGGTGGGATTATAGGTGTGAGCCACCGTGCCCAGCCTCGGCTCACTGTTATCTGGTTTGAGTTGTCCTGAATTAGTTGGAGCTGAATATAACTAACTGATTTTAGCCATTTTGAGTGGAGCTATCTGGATGATTTTATGACTTCCCGTTTGGCCCTTTTTTTTTTTTTTCAGTCCTGATTTATGATAAACTCATAATTTGGTTCATTGAATTTGGGCTAGTTGGCAAAGCAGTTTGGCTTTTTAAAGTTAAGAGCCCATTTAAAACATTATAATTCAAACTGCAAATTTCTTTTTTTTTTTTTTTTTTGAGATGGAGTCTCGCTCTGTTGCCCAGACTGGAGTGTAGTGGCACAATCACGGCTCACTGCAAGCTCCGCCTCCTGGGTTCAGGCCATTCACCTGCCTCAGCCTCCCGAGTAGCTGGGACTACAGGCACCTGCCACCAAGCCCGGCTAATTTTTTGTATTTTTAGTAGAGACGGGGTTTCACTGTGTTAGCCAGGATGGAAAATTTCTTAACTGAATAGGGCTTCAGGTGTGCTTGCCCTCGCTTTGTGTTGCACCAGTGTTCTCTTGAGGATGTCTGCAAAGAGATGGTCAGAATGGTAGTTGTGGTTTTTTTGTACATGACTTAAGTGAGGGTCTTTTTTATTCCCCCAGGCAGAGAACAGAAATATGAAGATGGAATTGCTTTGCTGAGGAACGCACTGGCTAATCAGAGTGACTGTGTCCTGCATCGGATCCTAGGAGATTTCCTTGTAGCTGTCAATGAGTATCAGGAGGCAATGGACCAGTATAGTATAGCACTAAGGTAGGCACTAGCCTCCCTTGGGGGAAGGCCACTGAGGAGGGTAGAGGAGGCAGTGAGCTGTGTCACAGGAGTTATGGAAACACACACACACTTTGTGTCCATGGTTGAAAGCAGAATAATAATAGTAATGGTAGAAGAGTTATTTGTGAATTCATGACTTCTAAAAATTTTTTCTTAAAATATATTAACAACATTAGAGAACTGTTTCACTCATAACCATCCCACACCACTATAACATCTGTGTTCATTTGTATAGCTCATCTTCTGTCCTTGCCCACACACACATATTTTTATAGGGCTGTACCTAGTATATATTTTATATTCTTCTTTTTCAAATCAAAGTATTGTAAGTACTTTCCCATGTTTCTATCTACTGTAGTCATTAAGAACTTGAGGTCTGAAGTTTTGAATACTACCTTCACCACCTGTGATCTTGGGCAAGTTACTAACACATTTCCTTGTCTATATCTAGCTACCTTATTAGATATTAAATGATCGAATGAGGGTTAAATGATTATTTCATGTAAAGCTCTTAGCCCTGTGCCTGGTACATAGTAAATGCTAAATAAATAGTGGTATTCTTACTGTTTAATACAGAAGTGGTTTCTTTGAGGGTTGTCTGTGTGTCTGTAAGGTTATGGTGAAGGGCTGTCTTTAATAGAGTCTGATCACATTCAATTGTTCAGCACACAGTTGAGCACCACTTGTGTGCCTAGCATCTCAGTGACAACTGGAGATGCTATGTTTCGGGAGCTGTCAGTCTCAGACATGCAGACTGGCCATGCCATGTGCTAAGGGCTTTCATAGTAGTCTGTAGAAGGGAAGGTGGGAGTCCAGAGGGCAGGAGCCCTGGGTATGGGTGAGAGCTTCAGAGTACAGGATGTGGAAGGCTTCAACCAGGAGACGAGGAGATGTTACAGATCGGTCCGCATTTATATCGGTAGAAACGGTGCCAACATGGGTTTTAGCTGCTTTTTAGAATCTCAGAAGCAAGTGAGAAAATAAAATATCAGACTTCCATTAG
Organism: Homo sapiens; assembly: GCF_000001405.40. Lineage (NCBI taxonomy): Eukaryota > Metazoa > Chordata > Mammalia > Primates > Hominidae > Homo > Homo sapiens. The sequence goes on along the minus strand of NC_000012.12, from coordinate 110,375,041 downwards.
AGGTGGGGTTTGCTAGGCGTGGGACGCCTGCTGGCTTGGGTGATGGTCACTAAGGCAAGAGGAAAGATTGCTTAGGAGGCAAATAAATGAATGTTCTAGAGGCTCTGAACTTTGGGGGTGGGGGTGGCGTATGTACTGACACTCAGCTGCTAAATGTGAATGCTTGGGTAGGGGTAGCCTTGGGTCCTGGGGTCTGACCTAGGTGTTTACAAGTCTGTTCCATGGTACAGCGTGATGTTTTTGGTTGGCTCCTGAAATGCTGCTATGTTTAATTACATCATAAGAACATGGGACACCTATACTCAGAGAAATTCCTATTTTTTGTAACCCTGTAGCTCTAAAACCCAACTTTCTGGGAATTCCATTTGAATTTACCTGGTAATGTTTGTTTGCCACTTTTTCATTTGTGTTATCTGGTAGCCGCCTCTAGCAGAATGCTAGGGGTAATAGGTATGAAAAAGTTTAAGAAATTTGTGGAGAAAAACTCAAATTGAGAACTCTAAAAATTAGGAAGAGACTCCTTTTTGCACTTCTGGTGGTGGACTCCCTCAACCCAGCCTTGGAAGCCTGAGTTGTTTGGAGAGGCCAGGCTTTAGCACATTTTTTGGGACTGTGTGGTCATTTCACTGCCGGGCCAGGGAGATGACGAATCAGCCAGCAAGAGCAAGGCAGAGATTCAGGCCTCTCCTTTGTTTTGTTGTCCCCTAGTTTGGACCCCAATGACCAGAAGTCTCTAGAGGGGATGCAGAAGATGGAGAAGGAGGAGAGTCCCACGGATGCCACTCAGGAGGAGGATGTGGACGACATGGAAGGGAGTGGGGAAGAAGGGGACCTGGAGGGCAGCGACAGTGAGGCGGCCCAGTGGGCTGACCAGGAGCAGTGGTTCGGCATGCAGTGAGGGGGCGGCAGCTCCATGGCCGCAGTGGCCTGCCCTGCTCTGAGCACTTCCGTGGACTGAAGGAACCGTAGGAGCCTGCTCTCAGAAGGACAATGATTCAGCATGTGATTGCAGCAGGGGTCTCTGCCCCCTCGCTCCCAATTCCTAGTCGTGACTTCATTTCTAAAACAGAGCCTGACCAACCTTCCATGTATCTCCATCCTCCCCTGCTCCAGCCAGGGAGGACTGAGGGAGTGCCCCGAGACCCACGCACATGTTGGGGCTTCTGGGCCAAGAGTACTTTTTATATAACTAATTTCTAAATCCAAAAGCTCAAGGAATAGACAGTGTTCTGTGACATGGATTGGTTTGAAGGAGTTACCCACCATCCCAGCACGATAATGTCATCTCCCAAGTTGGATGGCAGCACGATCTGGCCCTAGGGAGCTTCCTGTTCCCAGAAGTCATTGTCCTGGGCTATCCAGATGTCCCTAGTAAATCTTGCTTCCTTCTGCAATGTTAGTAATGCCTTAAGCTGACAGTTGCTATTTTGCAGAACAGTTTTCCTCTTTGCTTAGCTAGTAACTTGCCTCTGAGCCTGGGCTGATCTGAGAAACAGGTGTGACAAGAGCATGAACCAGAGGTGCACCTGGGGCAGTTCCCTAATAAAACTGGTTTGTACAGTCATGGTGTTGGGGTGATCAGAATGGAAGCCCTTTTCAAAATAGACTCTTAGTATTTTTGTCTTATTCGCAATGCATTGATTCAGCCCCAGAATTATTTGCCAGAAATAGACTTTCTTCCCCTGGTGTTGGGAGCCAGGAGGGTTGGAAAGCTCAGGAACCCTGAGCTGGTTCATCTGTTTGCATATTGGGTAGGTTAATTTCCCTGGAGCCTGAGAGTCTTTGGCCAGATTTCAGCTGCGTCTGCCTGGCTCTTTTGCTGCAGCTGTGAGATTGGGGTCTGGTTCCAGCAGTCTGTCACTGGTCAGCCTGAGTATCACACCCTGAGCTCTGGGGCTGGGAGTTTCTTCCCACACCCTCTCCCTTGTGCCTTAAGTTGCGATGGCTCTGAGTATACAATTAATCGGAGGTGAGGGGTGGGTGTCACAGCTAATCCCAAATTCAAAAATTAGTCCAAGGTGCTGCAAAATATAAATTTGATGTCAGTAGAAAGTCGTATCCTAAAATGTAAAAACTGTAAGTGTACAGTAGTTAATGAGCTCAGAACATCTGATAACTGCAATTTAAAATGGGCAAAAAGTTTCTATGAGTCTTTCAGTCTAAGACCCAAAGCCTGCGCAACATCACTTGATCTGAGCCACTTCTAAAGAGACATATAAGGCTAGGCGTGCTCACACCTGTAATCACAGCACTTTGGGAGGCCGAGGCGGGTGGATCACTTGAGGCCAGGAGTTTGAGACCAGCCTGGCCAACATGGTGAAACCCCCGCTCTGTTAAAAATACAAAAATTAACCGGGCATGGTGGTACACACCTATAATCCCAGCTACTCAATACTCAGGAGGCTGAGGCAGGAGAATCACTTGAACCCAGGAGGTGGAGGTTGCAGTGAGCCAGGATCTGCACTGCACTCCAGCCTGGGCGACAGAGACAGTGTTTAAAAAAAAATAAAGCCCCACAGATAGTTGGGGTCACACCAGGTGAGTGTGCGGCCAGTAGAAGAAGCTGCCTGCCCCTTGGCCTAGGCATGCTGTCCAGGATGCAGCCTCACTTCATGGGCTTCCTCAGCTCCATGACCTGTCATACTGTGATGAGAGAGAGGCGATGCCTCTTTTCCTTTCCCCTGACTCCAGGAGGAAGCCCAGCCCCACCGCGCAATCTCATCTCTGCATGGCAGGCTCACCACCGCACTCACATCCACTGGATCAGGGTCCCAGAGCCCAGGCCCCATGCATTGCCCTCAGCTGGCACCCTCCCACCATCCCCTTCCTTGACATGCCCCTCAGCCCTGCTGAGAGCCCCTGTGCTCTCCAGGCTCCTGCAGCCCAGCACCTGCTAGGACGGATCCTCATTCTCTGCAGCTCCAGCCCCAGGGTGACAGCCAGGTTGGAAGAGGCGGCTGAAGGTGTGAAACCACCTCACACGGGATGGAGAAAACATTCGGTCGACATCAAAGAGTGGTGCTCAGAGGGTGCTGAAGCTGTCGCTTGGCACTGCCACTGTCACTCTTTCACAAACCCAAAACCTCAAGGGCAGGGAGCTCCAGGAGGCAGGGACAGAACCAGGCTGCTCAGCCCTGTGTCTCTCCTGCCGAGCCACCTGCCTGGAGACCAGGCACCTGACCAAGGACAGCCCCCAAATGCCCAGTCACCACAAGTTCTTTCTGGGTTCTGGAGTCCCACACAGCCAGTATGGGGGTGTTTTAAACAGTCATTTCTCCACCTTCCAGATTGTTCAGAGACCACCTGGGTCTAAAAAGACCCCCCTGCCCCTCAGAACCCATGGGCTGCTGGGGCAGTTAGCTATGCAGCCCCTGCTGCCTCCTGGGGTGAGGACTAAATGAGTCCGTGCGGCGTTCAGCACGTCACCCTTTGCGACATCCTCACGGGGGAATGCCAGCTGGCCAGGCCTCCCTGGGGAGCTGGGGGTGGTTCTGCACTTCTGGAGCCCTCTCGTCTCTGAAGGGCCCTCAGCCAAGCAGGGAGGCGGGCTCTGGAGTCGAGGTGAGCCTTGCCTTCAACAGAACCTCCCATTTTTCACTTTTCAACCTCTGCTGGGCTCCAGGGACCTGGTAGGTATGTACCCTACTCATGGCTGATGGCAGGAGCTCTCCCTGCAGCCACAGCTGGGGGGCCACACTCCTGCCTCTGAATTCCAAAAAATGAGGCCGGCTTTTGCCCAAATCTGCAATCCCCAAACTAGAGCATGCATCTCAGCGATGCAGGTTCCCAGGCCCAGCACCAAACTTTTATTGGAATCCAGAGGCCTGGCCCAGGCCCAGTGGTCTGCAGCTTTCACTTCCCACCCTGACTTCCTATTCTATGCAGGTGTTCCCTGGAAAAGTATTGAGAAACCTGCGAGAGGGGAGCTCGAAGTTCCCAACAGCTGCAGGCCTGACCCCAGAGGGCCCTTGGGAGTTAACTCTGCAGCTGTCCGTGGGTGGGAGGAACCGGCCTCCAAAGGCCTCACCTGTGGCTTCCTGCGTTCCCAGCCCTACACTGGCTTACCTGTGGCAGGCCAGGGCCTGCGCGGAGCTGCTTCCCAGAGCTTAGGTGAGCTGTCCCCGTGAGCAGCTCTCTGGGGTTGTGCTCAGGCCTGCGTTCCCTGCTGACGACAGGCAGTGAGTCCAGACTCCACATGAACCTCACCTCATCCTCCAGGCACGGCTGTGGCCAGGTCACCGGGAAGCCCTGCGCTGGGAGGGGCCATTGAGGTAAGTGCCTTACTAAGGTTTTCCACTTTCTGCAGGAGCCTCCCTGCCCCAGGGCAGCAGGAGGGGCCTCAGTTGCCACCTCCCGTCTTGGGGTGCAGTGCAGGTCTGCCGTCTAGACCCCTCCAGGCCTGGGCAAACAGCACCCCCGCCCAGGCCACCACCAGCCTGGTCCAGAGTGTAGGGTTTTCTCAGATTGCTGTGGAAGGTCATTGGCAGCACAGCACACGGCACCAGCAAGGTCAGGAACAAACCAAGAAGCCCACAGTGCAGCCTCCACAGCAGCCATGAAAAGAAAATATGAATTTTAAAGTAACAGTGCCACTGTGCACTGCTGGTGGGAATGTAAGGTGGCACAACCACTGTGGAGAACAGTCTGGCGATTCAGAAATTCAAACAGTACTACTACCCTAGGATCCAGTGTTCCACCTCCGGGTGTACACCCGAAGAAGTGAAAGCTGGAACGCCAAAAGATTGCACGTCCATGTCCACGCAGCACTGTCCACAGCAGCAAAAGGTGGAAACAACCCACGTGTCCTTAGATGAGTAGATAAACAAACCAAGGTGCGTCTTTCGGTACAATGGAATATTACTCAGCCTTGTAAAGGCAAGTGACACATGCTACAACATGGAGGAACTTTGAGGACATTATTCTAAGTGGTAGAAGCCAATCACAAAAGGACAAATGCTGTATGACTCCATGAATCTTGAGGTGTGCCTGGCACAGTCAGATTCATAAAGACAAAGTAGATTAGAGGCTGCCAGGAACTGGGGGGAAGGAATGACTTAGTTTCTAATAGGGACAGAGTTTCTGCTTAGAATGCTTAACAAGTTCTGGATATGGTGCGGATGGTTGCACATTTTATGTTATATATGTTTTATGACAATTAAGAAATGACCTGTAAGCCTGCCATCTGGATAACTCCAGTAAACACATCTTAATTTATGTGAACTATGGTGTGTATTTGTAATATATATGTGTTACCTAAAGTTACACATGTTTAAAAAATTCAGGCCAGGTGCAGTGGCTCACATCTGTAATCCCAGCACTTTGGGAGGTTGAGGTGGGCAGATCATTTGAGCTCAGGAGTTCAAGGTCACCCTGGGCAACATAGACCCCATGTCTACAAAAAAATTTTTAAATTAGCTGGGCATGGTGGTGTGTCCCTATGGTCCCAGCTTCAATGCACACGGGAGCTACTCAGGAGGCTGAGGTGGGAGGATTGCTTGAGCCCAGAAGGTGGAGGTTGCAATGAGCTGTGGTTGCATCACTGTACTCCAGCCTGGGTAACACAGTGACACCCTCTCAAAAAAAAAAAAAAAAAATTAAACCATGGAAGGCATAAAATTAGAAATACATCTACTTCCCAATCCACTGAATTTATTGTCTCTCCCCAAAATAAGTTTCTGGTTCTACTTTTGTAAAAATAGTTTTGTGCTTTTCCTTAACTATATATATTATAAAAAATATTCTGCCAGGCACGGTGGCTCATGCCTGTAATCCCAGCACTTTGAGAGGCCAAGGCTGGTGGGTCACCTGAGGTCAGGAGATCTAGACCATCCTGGCTAACACGGTGAAACCCCGTCTCTACTAAAAATACAAAAATTAGCCAGGCGTGGGTGGTGGTCGCCTGTAGTTTCAGCTACTTGGGAGGGTAGGGCAGGAGAATCGTTTGAACCCAGGAGGTGGAGGTTGCAGTGAACCGAGATTGTGCCACTTCACTTAAGCTGGGGCGACAGAGACCCCGTATGAAAAAAAAAATACGAGGCCGTGCTGTGCACAGGGACATTCTGTGCAGCGTCAGTGCACCCCTTAATCATCAGTACTGCAGAATCCATTCTGCAGAAGGAACAATTTCCGCAACCCTTCTGCTACTGGTGGACACTTGTTTTCCAGTCTTGAACATAATTATTTCAGTCTGTGCTGTCATGAACATATTTTGCCATAATATTCCAAGGATATGCAGAAGTCAAGTTCCTTGCAGTGAAATTCCTGGGTCTCAGATTGTGTGCATTGACATGTCTCATGGGTGCTGCCCGATTACCCTCCAACAATAACAGGTGCAAGTGCCTGTTTGCCTGCCCCTCATCAGCACCACTATCATTAAGTGCTTTCATTTGGTTTTTATTGTTTTTACCAACCTCAGATTTGATCAGTACTCCCTTGCTTTTATTTGCCTTAGCTGCTATTCTTTTTTCTTTCTTCCTTTTTTTTTTTTTTTTTTTTTTTTTGAGACGGAGTTTCACTCTCCATCTGGCACATGATTACAGGCATGTGCCACCATGCCCGGCTGATTTTGTATTTTTAGTAGAGACGGGGTTTCTCCATGTTGGTCAGGCTGGTCTCAAACTCCTGACCTCAGGTGATCCGCCTGCCTTGGCCTCCCAAAGTGCTGGGATTACAGGCGTGAACCACTGCACCCGCCTTTTTTTTTTTTTTTTTTTTTTTTTTTTTTTTTTTTTTTCCTTAAGACAGTCTTGCTCTGTCGCCCTGGCTGGAGTGCAGTGGCACAGTCTTGGCTCACTGCAACCTCCCCCTCCTGGGTTCAAGTGATTTTCCTGCCTCAGCCTCCTGAATAGCTGGGATTACAGGCATGCGCCACCGCGCCTGGCTAATTTTTGTATTTTTACTAGAGACAGGGTTTCACCATGTTGGCCGGGCTGGTCTCAAACTCCTCACCTCAGGTGATCCGCGGGCCTTGGCCTCCCAAAGCACTGGAATTACAGGTGTGAGCCACCGCACCCTGGCCCCTAGCTGCTATTTCTTTTCTTTATTTTTATTTATTTATTTATTTATTTTGAGTCAGAGTCTCACTCTGTTGCCCAGGCTGGAGTGCAGTGGTGCTATCTCGGCTCACTGCAACCTCCACCTCCCAGGTTCAAGCAATTCTCCTGCCTCAGCCTCCCGAGTAGCTGGGATTACAGGCATGGGCCACCACACCTGCCTAATTTGTGTATTTTTAGTAGAGACGGGGTTTCACCATATTGGTCAGGGTGGTCTCGAACTCCTGATCTCATGATCTGGCCGCCTTGGCCTCCCAAAGTGCTAGGATTACAGGTGTGAGCCATGGCGCCCGGCCCCAGCTGCTATTTTGTGAGTGCTCCTCTGAGACAGGCCACGAGGCATGGCCTTTGCCTACATTACCACATCTCAGCCTCACACCCCCTGAAGTTGGAGAGGTAGAATTGGCCGCTTTCACAGATGAGTGCACTGAGTCTCAGATGGACACATTAGCTGTTTTCGTCTGTCCAGAGCCTCCTGCCCTGGAGTTTCAGTATGGTCTTAACGGATCTCTCTGCAATTGTATCATATATTCTGTTCCAGAGAAAACAGCCACACTAAGCCCGCCTCACCGTCTGTTGCTGCAGGCCTCAGCCTTGCTTTGTCTAAAGGCTGCAGACAGTCTGGCAAGGACAGCGCGTCACGACACAGCTCTCGCTGGCCACTTAAATCTTCCAGTGTCTCTCTCTTTATAAACAACCCTCTGGTGACCTCCTTTGTGCTATTTTTTTTCCTTCTTTGGGTAAATTCTCAGCAGGGGGATTTTGGAGTGAGAGTATAATCTTTTTTGGAACTTTCAAGGGACCTGGCTGGCTTGTCCTCTCTGCGTGGCAAACACATATGCCCAGGTTAGCCCGGCAGCCACCCTGTCTACCCAGGGAGCCCCTCCGTGGGCTTCAGGTTAGGGGCAAACCAGGAGCTCTGCAGTCTCTTGAGCGTCTGCTCCGCTTCCTCTTGCTGGAGCTAGGAGCTTGTGCTCTCTGCGATCCTCTCAGGCCTCCCCCTTAGCTTTCTCCTGGCTGTGGGATTTGGGGTCCCTCCCCCTCGCCTGGCTCTGCAGTTGGGGTATTTCCTGGACTGAGGTCAGTTCCTCCCCTGTTGAGGGCTGAGGGAGACTGTGCTTGATGAGGTTTTGTGTGTGTTGGGGTCGGGGGGGTGCTGGCTGCTTGTATCGTCCCTGAGTCCCCCTCCTTCAGTGCCGCCTCAGAGGTACCCACCCTCCTCACTAGGAGGGCTGAGGCCTGGGGGAGGGCCTCTCTCCACCCTCGGGAAGCCTCTGCCTCTGCCTCATGGCCTGTCACTGGCTGTGTGGCTATGGGCAGCTCCCTTGGGTTCTCTGTACCTCCATGTTCCTTTGGTATAAGACTCAGAGAGTTGGGTCTTCCACTGTCGTCAGGTGGGGGCATAACATGAAAGGGGCCTTGTAGCAGGGGTGGCAGCACTTGGAGCCCTCGGAGGGGTGTATGGGTGGGGAGCAGCCTCTGAGGGCTAAACCTTGGTCCTTGTCAGGCCAGCATCCCTGAGGATGGTAACCTTGCCTTCTGCCCTGTGGGCTAGGACCCCTTTGGCACTAGATCAGTGGATTTGACCTGAACCCCTAAGTGCTGGGCCTGGTCTTGCGTAAGCAAGAGGCCCAGGGAAGTTATTTTTTTCATGTTTGGGTCATCCTCTACCCATGACCTAGTCAGCTGGCCCCTCGGCCCACGGGCCCATCTTCCCTATCAGTCTCCATGGGGCAACAGAGGTTTGGTCTAGGAATTGAGTAGGAACCACAGCCAGCAGGGGTCTGTCCTTCAGACAAGGTGGCTCCCAGACTGAAGCCCCAGCCTTGAGGGGCCCAAACGAGCTGACACCAGGACCCCTGCAGGCCCAGGCCACTCCCCACATCTGTGCTGCTGCTGTTTGGTGAAGCCTACTAGTGTGACAGGAAGGGAGAGAGGTGACCTCGTGTATATCCCCCTACTGGAGCTTGTTCCAGAATGCTGGGCATAGACACAAGCCACGCAGTGACCTGGAGGCAGCTTCTGTCCTCCTAGGGGAGGCCAGGGAGGGGCCCTCTCTGAGTCAAGGCTGTGTGGAGACCCCTGAGCAGATCTGGGAGAGTGGTCCCTGTGCATAATGAACCTCCAGTGAGCCCAGGCCAAGAGCCTGCCTGGGGCCTGGCAGGGATTTCTTGATTATTTTAATAAAAATGGGACATTGGTGAAATACAGCATACATACAGAAGCATGTGAAAGCATAGTAGAAGTGTTTACAAAACCACAGGAAAAATGTGTACACAACCACCCAGGTCACAAAATAGAACATTTCCAGGACCCCCACACGCCTGTGCGCCAGGCTGATCCCAGCTGGCCCTACTCCTCTAGCCCCACTCCTGCCAGAAGTACCCATGAGTGAATTTTGTTTTATTACTTCTTTTATTTTGTGACCCTGAAAGTCTTTTGAAGCTTGGGTAAATAACAACCTCATTTTTCTTATCTGTAAAATAATACCATTGTTCCCTTGTTTCATTTTTATTTTTACCACATTTTTATCCTAAACAACACTTTTTTTTTTCTTTTGTGGCAGAATCTTGCTCTGTCACCCAGGCTGGAGTACGGTGGTTTGATCTTGGCTCGCTGCAACCTCTGCCTCCCAGATTCAAGCAATTCTCCTGCCTCAGTCTCCCAAGTAGCTGGGATTACAAGCACCCACCCCACCATGGCCAGATAATTTTTTTTTTTTTTTTGAGATGGAGTTTTGCTCTGTCACCCAGGCTGGAGTGCAGTGGCGCAATCTCGGCTCACTGCAAGCTCCGCCTCCCGGGTTCACACCATTCTCCTGCCTCAGCCTCCCGAGTAGCTGGGACTACAGGCGCCCGCCACCACGCCTGGCTAATTTTTTGTATTTTTCATAGAGATGGGGTTTCACCGTGTTAGCCAGGATGGTCTCAATCTCCTGACCTCGTGATCCGCCCGCCTCGGCCTCCCAAAGTACTGGGATTACAGGCATGAGCCACCATGCCCAGCCTTTTTTTTTTTTTTTTTTTTTTTGAGCCAGAGTCTCAGTCTCCCACCCAGGTTGGAGTGTGTAGTGGTGTGATTTTGGCTCACTGCAACCTCTGCCTCCTGGGTTCAAGCAATCCTTCCACCTCAGCCTCCCAAGTAGCTGGGATTACAGGTGTGCACCACCATGCCCAGCTAATTTTTTTTCTTTTTTGTATTTTTAGTAGAGACAGGGTTCTACAATGTTGGCCAGGCTGGTCTCAAACTCCTGACCTCATGATCCGCCCACCTTGGCTTCCCAAAGTGCTGGGATTACAGGCATGAGCCACCATGCCCGGCAATTATTTATTTATTTGCTTGTTTTGAACTTTGAATGTTGTATGTTGTTCCATGATTATCATTTATTTATTTATTTATTTATTTATTTATTTATTTATGAGATGGAGTCTAGCTTTGTCACCCAGGCTGGAATACAGTAGGGCAATCTCGGCTCACTGCAAACGCCACCTCCTGGGTTCAAGTGATTCTCCTGCCTCAACCTCACAAGTAGCTGGGATCACAGGCATATGCCACCACACCAGGCTAATTTTTGTATTGTTAGTAGAGATGGGGTTTCACCATGCTGGCCAGGCTGGTCTCAAACTCCTGGTCTTAAGTGATCTGCCCACCTCAACCTCCCAAAGTGCTGGGATTACAGGCGTGAGCCACCGCTCCCAGCCCCTAATTTTTTTTTCTTTTTATTAAAAAAAAAATCTAGGCTGGGCACAGTGACTCACGCCTGTAATCCCAGCACTTTGGGAGGCCAAGGCGGGCAGATCACGAGGTCAGGAGATCGAGACCATCCTGGCTAACATGGTGAAACCCCGTCTCTACTAAAAATACAAAAAAATTAGCTGGGCGTGGTGGCGGGCGCCTGTAATCCCAGCTACTCAGGAGGCTGAGGCAGGAGAATGGCGTGAACCCAGGAGGCGGAGCTTGCAGTGAGCCGAGATCGCGCCACTGCACTCCAGCCAGGGTGACAGAGCGAGACTCCATCTTAAAAAAAAAAAAATGTAACAGATGGGGTCTCACTAAGTTGAGCAGGCTGGTTTCAAACTCCTGGCCTCAAGCAGTCCTCCATCTCAGCCTCCCAAATTACTAGCATTACAGGCATGAGCCACCACACCTGGCCTAATGTTTTGTATTTTTTGTAGAGATGGGGTTTAACATGTTGCCCAGGCTGGTCTCGAACACGTGAGCTCAACCAATCTGCTTGCCTTGGCTTCCCAAAGTGATGGGATTATAGGTGTGAGCCACTGTGCCCAACCTGGAGTATTTTTAATAGACTATTTTTAGAACAGTTTTAGATTTGCAGAAAAATTGGGTGGATAGCACAGAAAGTAACCACGTGTTCCCCCCCACACACACAGTTTCCCCTATTGTTAATATCTTACAGTACCATGGAACATTTATCACAATTAATGAGCCAACATTGATACTTTTTTTTTTTTTTTTTTTGAGATGGAGTCTTGCCCTGTCGTCACCCAGGCTGGAGTGCAATGGCACAATCTCGGCTCACTGCAAGCTCCGCTTCCTGGGTTCAAACAATTCTTCTGCCTCAGCCTCCCACGTAGCTGGGATTATAAGTGCCCGCCACCACGCCCAGCTAATTTTTTGTATTTTTAGTAGAGACAGGGTTTCACCCTGTTGGCCAGGTTGGTCTTGAACTCCTCACCTTGTGATCCGCCTGCCTCGGGCCTCCCAAAGTGTTGGGATTACAGGCATGAGCCACTGTGCCCAGCCGATACATTATTATTAACTAAAGTCCATGGTTTTTCAGATTTGCTTTTTTTTTTTTTTTTTTTGAGATGGAGTCTCGCTCTGTCACTCAGGCTGGAGTGCAGTGGTGTGATCTCGGCTCACTGCAACCTCTACCTCCTGGGTTCAAGTGATTCTCCTGCCTCAGCCTCCCCCCACCACCTTCAGTTAATGTTTTGTGTTTATAGTAGAGTCAGGGTTTTGCCGTGTTGGCCAGGCTGGTCTCGAACTCCTGACCTCAGGTGATCTACCTGTCTCGGCCTCCCAAAGTGTTGGGATTACAGGCATAAGCCACCACACCTGGCCCAGATTTACTCAGTTTTTTTCCTAATGTCCTTTTTCTGTTTCAGAATCTCATCTAAGATTCCACATTACATAGTCATCATGTCTCCTTAGGCTCCTCATGGCTATCAGTTTCTCACACTTGTTTTTACTAACTTTGTCAGTTTTGAGGAGTACTCGTCAAGGGTTTTGTAGGGTGCCTTATTCAGTTTTCATTGCAATATAAGAATCTGCGTGGATATAAGGTATCCATTTTATTCTGTTGATGGACTTTTTTTTCTAACTTTTTGTTTCAAACTGCTTCTGCTATGTATTTTATTTTTACAGAAATATATAATGTACAAATCAACATGCTCACCTGCAGCACTTTGTTCCATTTCCTCACTAACTGGGTATTATCAATCTTTAATTTTCTCCAATACACTGTGTGTGAGATGACATAGTTACTGTAATTTAGATTTTCCTGTTTTGTAATAATATTGAACAATATTTTATATATTTAGTAACGATTTTGCAGAGGAATGATTTCCTCTTCTCTGAAATTCCTGTTGTTTTGCCTACTTTTCTATTGGATTATCTTGTTCTCATTAATTCATAGTCATTCTTTGTATATTCTAGATACAATTTCGAACATGAGTTGGCAATATCTTCTTCCAGTTTATGGCTTGTCATTCTCTGTGGTATCTTTTGGTTAACAGAGGGTCTTAATTTTAATATAGTTGAATCTTTTTCTTTATGGTTGTGCTTTACAATTCTTTTTCTTTTTGAGATGGAGTCTTACTCTGTCCCTCAGGCTGGAGTGCAGTGGCGCGATCTCTGCCCACTGCAACCTCAGCCTCCCGAGTAGCTGGGACTACAGGTGTGTGCCACCAAGCCTGGCTAATTTTTTTTTTTTTTTTTTTTTTTTTTTTTTAAGTAGAGACGGGGTTTCACTGTGTTAGCCAGGATGGTCTTGATCTCCTGATCTCGTGATCCACTCACCTCGGCCTCCCAAAGTGCTGGGATTACAAGCGTGAGCCACCGTGCCCGGCCCGTGTTTTACAATTCTTAAGAAATCCTTCCTTACTCAAGGTCAAAATGTACTCTCTATGGTGTGATGTAGGGATCCAATTTTATTGGTTTTTAGTATTATTTTTTGAGACAGAGTCTCGCTGTGTTGCCCAGGCTGGAGTACAGTGGCATGATCTCAGCTCACTGCAATCTCCTCCTCTCAGGTTCAAATGTTTCTCCTACCTCAGCCTCCCGAGTAGCTGGGATTACAGGCATGCTCCACCACACCCAGCTAATTTTTTTGTATTTTTAGTAGTGATGGGATTTCGCTATGTTGGCCAGGCTGGTCACAAGCTCCTGCCTTCAAGTGATCTGCCCACCTCAGCCTGCCAGTGCTGGGATTATAGGCATGAGCCATTAACCCTGGCCTATATATATATCCTTTTAAGATTCACACATAATAAGTCAGAGCAGTTTTCTTTTTTTCTTTCTAAATAGACTAGACAGCAATTTTCAAAAAGGGAAATTATGAAATTTCCCCACCCTGCCTGCCTTCTAGTTGCCTCTCTAGAAGGAACCATAGTTACTAGTTTCTCATGTATTTTTCCAGAAATAATTTGAAATCACATAAGTGGATATGCATATGCCACCCCCCTTTTGTATTTGCACAGTTCATCAGCAGAGTTTATAAAAAGTAAAGTCTTTTTTTTTTTTAAGTCTTGCTCTGTTGCCCAGGCTGGAATGCAGTGGTGCACTCTCGGCTCACTGCAACCTCTGCCTCCTGGGCTCAAGCGATTTTCCTGCCTCAGCCTCCCAAGTAGCTGAGATTACAGGTGCCTGTCACCACGCCGGACAAATTTTTGTAGTTTTAGTAGAGACGGGGTTTCACCATGCTAGCCATGCTGATCTTGAACTCCTGACCTCAGATAATCCACCCGCCTTGGCCTCGCAAAGTGCTGGGATTACAGGCTTGAGCCACCGTACCCAGCCAAAACTCTCATTTTTTTTTTCTTTTTTTGTTTTTGAGACAGTGTCTTACTCTGTCACCCAGGTTGGAGTACAGTGGCATGATCACAGCTCACTGCAGCCTCAACCTCCTGGGCTCAAACCATTCTCCCACCTCAGCCTCCCACTTAGCTGGGACCACAGGCACGTGCCTGCACATCTGGCTAATTAAAAAATTTTTTTTTTTGCCAGGCACAGTGGCGTGTGCCTGTAGTCCCAGCTACTTGGGAGGCTGAGGTGCAAGGATCGCTTGAGCCCCAGAGTTCTGGGCTGCAGTGCACTATGCCAATCGGGTGTTTGCGCTAAGTTCGGCATCAAGATGGTGACCTCCAGGGAGTGGGGGGCCACCAGGTTGCCTAAGGAGGGGTGAACTGGCCCAGGTCAGAAACGGAGCAGGTCAGAACTCCTGTGCTGATCGGTGGTGGGATCATGCCTGTGAATAGCCACTGCACTACAGCCTGGGCAACATAGCGAGACCCTGTAATTAAAAAAAAAACTGTGGCCAGGCATCGTGGCTTACGCCTGTAATCCCAACACTTTGGGAGGCTGAGGTGGGCAGATCATGAGGTCAGGAGTTCAAAACCAGCCTGATCAACATGATGAAACCCCGTCTCTACTAAAAGTACAAAAATTAGCCGGGCGTGGTGGCGCGTGCCTGTAATCCCAGCTACTCAGGAGGCTGAGGCAGGAGAATTGCTTGAACCCCGAAGGTGGAGGTTACAGTGAGCTGAGATTGCGCCACTGCACTCCAGCCTGGGCGACAGAGCAAGACTCTGTCTCAAAAAAAAAAAAAAAAATGCTGAGGCGGGTGGGTCACCTGAGGTCAGGAGTTTGATACTAGCCTGGCCAACATAGTGAAGCGCCCCGTCTCTACTGAAAATACAAAAAATTAGCTGGGCATGGTGATGTAAACCTGTAATCCCAGCTACTCGGGAGGCTGAAGCAGGAGAATTGCATGAACCTGGGAGATGGAGTTTGCAGTGAGCCGAGATTGTGCCATGAGACACTGTGCCTGGTTAAGTCCCAGTTTTCAATAGAATCTGTTTCTTAAACAGGTTATGATTGATAAATATAAAAAAAAATAAATGTTAAAGTTTGTACATTCTTAGTCACAAATCAAGGCATTTTGAGTAATTTCCAAACTTAAAAAACACATTTTTATGATTTCTACTTATTTATTTTCTTGAGACAGGGTCTCACTCTTGTGCAAGCTGGAGTGCAGTGGCGTGATCGTGGCTCACTTCAGCATCAACCTCCCAGGCTCAAGTGATCCTCCTGCCTCAGCCTCCCTAGTAGCTGGGACTACAGGCACACGTCACCACACTCGGCTAATTTTTTTTTTTTTTAGATGGAGTCTCACTCTGTCGCCCAGTAATTTCCAAACTTACAAAATACATTTTTATGATTGCTACTTATGTGCACCACACCTGGCTAATTTTTGTATTTTTAGTAGAGATGGGGTTTCACCATGTTGATCAGGCTTGTCTCGAACTCCTGACCTCATGATCTGCCCACCTCAGCCTCCCAAAGTGCTGGGATTATAGGCATGAGCTACTGTGTCCGGCCTTGGCTAATTTTTTGTAGCAACAAGGTTCTCACTATGTTACTCAGGCTGGTCTCGAACTCCTGGGCTCAAGTGATCCTTCTGCCTTGGCCTCCCAAATTACCGGGATTACAGGTGTGAGCTACTGCACCCAGCCTCTACTTATTTTGATGGAAAAACATCCAATTTAAACTTTACCAACACTCACTGGCTGACTACTGGACATGTTTTTCTCTCCTCCCCCTGCAGGGAGTCCTGTCAGAAGTACAGATTGCTAGGCTGGGCACGGTGGCTCATGCTTGTAATCCCAGCACTTTGGGAGGCTGAGGCGGATGGATCACGAGGTCAGGAGATCGAGACCATCCTGTCTAACACAGTGAAACCTGGCTCTACTAAAAATACAGAAAAAAAAAATTAGCTGGGCGTGGTGGCAGGTGCCTGTAGTCCCAACTACTTGGGAGGCTGAGGCAGGAGAATAGCGTGAACCTGGAAGGCGGAGCTTGCAGTGAGCTAAGATCATGCCACTGCACTCCAGCCTGGGCAACAGTGCGAGACTCTGTCTCAAAAAAAAAAAAAAAAAAATGTACAGATTGCTTTCCAAAATAGGAATGTCTCAGCCATGCTAAAATCATTCTCTTGTAATAGAGGAACAGGAATAACATATTTAGTATATTCTTAAAACGTTGTTATTGATTATATTTGGGGTTGGAATCTATCATCTTATCCTTGCTATTCTGTAATTTTAGGTTCCTTTTTTTCCTTCAGGCAGCATGCTAGTCTGGCCTGTGTTTCTGTTCCTTTAGTGGTTATCCTAGGAATTGCAATGTATTTATTTAACATATCCACACCTAAAGTTAACTGATGTCTTTACTGTCTGTCCTCTTGGATGACAAAAGCTCTCAGATCATTTAAATTCTGTTTACACCCACCCCATCTGGAGTTTCCCTTAGTGTGGGTCTGCTGATGAAGAACTGTTTCTTTCTTTTCTTTCTTTTTTTTTTTTTTTTTTTGAGACAGGGTCTCACTGTGTTGCTCAGGCTGGAGTGGTATGATCTCGGCTCACTACAACCTCCATCTTCCAGGCTCAAGTGATTCTCCTGCCTCAGACTCCTGAGTAGCTGGGATTACAGATGTGCACCACTACCGCCCAGCTAGTTTTTGTATTTTTAGTAGAGATGGGGTTTCACCATGTTGGGCCAGGCTGGTCTCAAACTCTTGACCTCAAATGGTCCTCCCACCTTGGCCTCTGAAAGTGCTGGGATTACAGGCATGAGCCACTGTGCCCGGCCTGAACCCTGTTTTTGCCTAAAAATATCTTTATTTCACCCTGAATACTATATGCTTAAATACTACATACTCTCTCCAGGTTGCCATTAATCGCCTTCAGCACATGAAGCTGCCATCCCGTTGGTTTCTGGCTTTCATTGTTACTGTTGTAATGTCAGTCTCCTTTGAAGATGATATTTACCTCTGCCCCGTCCCCCACTGCTCTTAAGATTTTCTTTGGTTTTCTGCAGTTTATTACTAGGGCTGGAATGATTGACTTCTCTCTCTCTTTTTTTTTTTTTTTTTTTTTTTTTTTTTTTGAGATAGGATCTGGCTCTGTCCTTCAGGCTGGGAAGTGCGGTGGTGCAATCTCAGCTCACTGCAACCTCCGCCTCCCAGACTCAAGACATCCTCCCGCCTCAGCCTCCAAAGTAGCTGGGAATGCGGAATATAGGAATGTACTACCATGCCCACCTAATTTTTGTTTTTGTTTTTTTCGGTAGAGATGGTTTTTTGCTGTTTCCCAGGTTGGTTTCAAAGTACTGGGCTCAAGCAGCCCTCCCACCTTGGGCCTCCCAAAGTGCTGAGATTACGTGTGTGAACCACCATACCTAGCCTGGATTTCTTTTTAGTTATCCTGTATCCTGGACTTAAGTGATCCTCCCATCTCAGCCTCCCGAGTAGCTGCACAGGCATGCGCCACCACACCCAGTAAAAAAAATTTTTTTTTAATTAGCCAGATGTGACAGCATGTGCCTGTGGTCCAGGCTGGAGTGCAGTGGTATACTCATGGCCACTGCAGCTTCCACCTTCTGGCCTCAAGTGATCTTCCTGCCTCAGCTTCCCAAGTAGCCGAGACTGTTCCATACTCCTGGGCTCAAGTGATCCTCCAGCTTCAGTCTCACAAAGTGCTGAGATTACAGGCGTGAGCCACTGTGCCTGGCCCTCTTTTGAAGGTAGTGAAATGTATATTTGACTTTGTCGCTTTTCTCAGTCTGTCTTCTAGGTATCTTACCTTTCCTGCATGTTTTCTAGCCTTTTCTCCCCACCCTCACCTTCTGCTGCATTCTAATTAATTTATTCTCATCGACCATTTCATTATTATTATTATTATTTTTTGAGACAGAGTTTCGCTCTTGTTGCTCAGGCTGGAGTGCAATAGCACGATCTCGTTTCACTGCAACCTCTACTTCCCGGGTTCAAGTGATTCTCCTGCCTCAGTCTCCCAAGTAGCTGGGATTACAGGCTACTGCCACCAGGCTGGGCTAATTTTGTATTTTCAGTAGAGACGGGATTTCTCCATGTTGGTCAGGCTGGTCTCAAACTCCCGACCTCAGGTGATCTGCCTGCCTTGGCCTCCGAAAGTGCTGGGATTACAGGCGTGAGCCACCGCGCCCAGCCTCATTCATTATTTTGCTGTGTCAATTTTGATGCCACATCCAACCATGAAGTTGTTTTGTTTTTGTTTTTGTTTTTTTTTTTTGCGACAGGCAGGGTCTTGCTGTGTTCAGGCTAGAGTCCAGTGGTGCAGTCAGCTCACTGTAACCTCAAACTCCTGTGCCCACGTGATCCTCACGCCTTGGGCCCCTCAGTAGCTGGGACTACAGGCATGTGCTACTATGCCAGGATAATTTTTAATTTTTATTTATTTATTTTTTTGAGACGGAGTCTCAATCGCCCAGCCAGGCTGGAGTGCAATGGCGCAATCTCTGCTCACTGCAACCTACGCCCCCCGGGTTCAAACGATTCTCCTGCCTCAGCCTCCCAAGTAGCTGGGTTTACAGGTGCCTGCCACTTCACCTGGCTATTTTTTTTTTTTTTTGTATTTTTAGTAAACACGGGGTCTCCCCATCTTGGCCAGGCTGGTCTTGAACTGCTGACCTCGCGATCCACCCTCCTCAGCTTCCCAAAGTGCTGGGATTACAGTCATGAGCCACCTTGCCTGGCCAATTTTTAAATTTTTTGCCGATTTGAGGTCTCACTATATTGCCCAGGCTGGCCAACCTTTTTTTTATTCTTTTTTTTGGTGAGATGGAGTCTCCCTCTGTTGCCCAGGCTGGGGTGCAGTGGTGCAATCTCGGCTCACTGCAAGCTCCGCCTCCTGGGTTCACACCATCCTCCTGCCTCAGCCTCCTGAGTAGCTGGGACTACAGGCGCCCGCCACCATGCCTGGCTAATTTCTTTCTTTCTTTTTTTTTTTTTTGTATTTTTAGTAGAGATGGGGTTTCACCATGTTAGCCAGGATGATCTCAATCTCCTGACCTCATGATCCACCTGCCTTGGCCTCCCAGTGCTGGGATTACAGGCGTGAGCCACCGCGCCCGGCCTTTTTTTTTTTTTTTTTGTGGAGACAGAGTCTCTCTCTGTTGCCCAGCCGAGAATGCAGTGGCTTGATCTCGGCTCACTGCTGCAACCTCCGCCTCCCAGGTTTAAGCGATTCTCCTGCCTCAGCCTCCTGAGTAGCTGGGATTACAGGCATGCACCATCATGCCCAGGTAATTTTTTTGTATTTTTAGTAGAGATGGGGTTTCACCATGTTGATCAGGCTGGTCTTGAACTCCTGACCTCAAGTGATCCAACTACCTTGGCCTCCCAAAGTGCTGGGATTACAGGCGTGAGCCACTGCACCTGGCCCCATTCGTTTTTACATTCTGATGATTATACTTTTCTCACTTTCCTGGTTTGATGACCTCAACAGTTTTGAGGAATACCAGTCAGGGATTTTTCGTTTGGGGATTGGTCAGGTGTTTTCTGATGATGATTAGACTGAGGTTGTGTATTTTGAGAGGAAGACCACAAAGGTAAAATGCCATTTTCATCACTTCAGATCAAGGGCCCATGCTTTCAAGATGACGCCCCCTGGCTGAGGTAGCATGTCAGGTCTCCACAGTGACGGGCACTTTCCCATCCCTACTGTATGTACTCTTTGGAACATTGCACAGCCCACAGAGGAGGTGAGTCTCCACCTCCTGAGGCAGTGTCCATGTAAATTACTTGGAATTCTGCATGGAAGATTTGTAGTCACCCCCATTTATTTATTTGTTTATGTCAGCGTGGACTTATGGATATTTATACTTTGGATTCTAGTCCAATACTGCTTTATTTTGTTGCTCACATTCTTCGGCTGTTGTGGCTTTTTCAGTTGGCTCCTGTGTTCCTTTCACATAACCACATCTTTGATTGCTGTTTTTGAGCCCTTCCTTTCTGGTGCTTTGGTATTCTTCAGGCACGTACTGTACGTTTTCTGTCCCATCTCTAGAATCAGCCATTTCTCCAAGGAGCCCTTTTTTACTGGAGAATGGCATTAGAAACCTAACACTGGAAGCCAAGTGTGTTCATTGCCTTCTGAGCTGACAGTACAAGGAAATGCATGTGTGTAGTGACCAGTGTATATACACATCACAGTCAGCAGTTTTTCTTTTTTCCTTTTCTTGAAACAGGCTCTCGCTGCGTCGTGCAGGGTGGAGTGCACTGGTGTGATCTTGTCCTGCTGGGTTCAGGTGATCCTCCTGCCTCAGCCTCCAGAGTAGCTGGGACTACAGGCAGGCACCACCATGCCTGGCTAATTTTTAAAATTTTTTGTAGATGTGGGGTCTCACTGTGTTGCCCAGGCTGGTCTCAAACTGCTGGGCTCCTCATCCTCCTGCCTCAGCCTCCTAAAGTGCTGAGATTATAGGCGTGAGTCACTGTGCCTCGCCACTATCAGTGTTTCTATATGAAACCATCCGTACATATGAAGCTAAACATGACTTCATCCTGATATCTCCGGCTCTAATTCATTACCACATGGATTATTCTAGCTTCCTCCCCTTGCTTATCTTAGCTTCTCCCCTTGCTTCCTCTGCTTCCTCCCACTCCAACAGAGAGACCTGGCTTCCACCATCTGCCATCTATATGCAGCATTTTGTTATTCTCAGCAACTGTCATTACTAGAAACTGTTAACTTCCTTCTGTTTCTAAAAAATGGTAGATTATAATACAAACTGCTCTGTAATTGAATATTTCCCTGGGCAGACAACGTATATCAGACATCATTCCTTGCTCGTACACACGTGTACCTTGTCTTTTTCAAAGGCTGCACGGTATTCCATGGTTTGAATGCTCTCTACCTTATTCAGTTCTTGCCTCTTGATGAACATCAGCTTATTTCCACTCTTCTGCTACAAGAGTGCAGTAGGGATTATACTTTTTGAACATATGGGAGGATTTCAGGAAAGTGAAGTTCTTGATCAAAGGATATAGATATTTAAAAATCTGAGAGCTGTGTGTGGTAGCTTATGCTTGTAATCCCAGCGACTAGGGGAGCTGACATGAGAGGGTCACTAGAGGCCAGGAGTTCAAGACCAGCCTGGGCAAGTAGCAAGATCCCATTTCTACCAAAAATTATAAAATTTGCCAGGTGTGGTAGTGTGCACTTATAGTCTTAGCTACTCAAGAGGCTGAGGCAGGAGGATCGCTTGAACCCAGGAGGTTGAGGCTGCAGCAAGCCATGATGGCACCGTTGCACCCCAGCCTGGGACACTGTCACTTCCCACCCTCCCCAAAAATGAAAATCTGACACGCAAACAGGCATAATGAACACCTCTGTCTATACTTTCCTTACTGATAGGTAAAGCAGTATCTGCCTTTCCTCGTCTCCGCCCCTCTCCCTCACTGAATTAACCACTATCGATTCGGGCTTTCACAGCCTCTGGCTGATGTCCACAAACTCATTACCAATCTGTTTGGTACTAGTCCACGTTGATGTACACTCTGGTGTACACACTTTCTCTCAGCCAGCCTGGCCCGTGGGCCACGTTTAGAGGATATGAGGCGGTATTGTGCATATTGATATGTTGCTGCACTTGGCTTCACTGTTCAGGATTTATTTAGGTTGATAACGTAGTTCTAGCTTATTTCATAGCTGAGCATCATCTGAATATGCCTGAATGTACTCACCCATTTTCCTGCTGGTGGTTTCATTTTTCTCCAAAAACTCTGCTGTGGCTCTTCCCCATGTGTGAGATTCTCTAGGAGTGGACCTGCTTGGGGCGGGGGCAGGGGTAAGGGTGTTGAGAACACCTCTAGGCTGAGTGATTTCGGTCATTCCCTAGAGTTCATCCTCGCAAGCTGCTCCATCCTTGGCATCAGAAGACCCACTTCTCGAGACGTTACCTCGTGATTTTAATTTGCCAGTGGAGTTGAGCATCTTTTCACATGAGCTATTTGTTTTCTCTCGTTTACACCATTTAACCATGTTTCTTTTGGGGGTATAGTTGCATTTTCCAAGTATTTTGATCCGTTTGCAATTTATTGGGTGTAAGGGATACAGCTTTATTTTTCTCAAGATGACCCCCCACATAATAATCCAACTATTACCTACTAAGCTGAAACACCACCCTTCTCAAGTGATGCACTGAATTACCATAGCTTTAAGAGGTTTGGTGTGCTTCCTTGGTTTTTGTCTGCCTGATGTTTGTTAGGATTGGCCTAAGGCCACCATTGGTATTCTCATATATCAGTATGAATTATATGTCACTCCCATTCAGCTGTCAATTTTCCCTGAATCATTAAACATTTCTAACTAGGAACAAAATAGTTCCTGTCTAGGAACATTGACCCAGTATGACCCCTGATCGCTTTTTGTTCATTCCAAGGCATTTTTTCCTTCTCGTGCCCGATTGTACTGACTAGCACCTCTAGAACAGTGTTTGGTAGTGGGCAAGAGTGGACTTGGAATGCAACTCTAAAGCGTTAACACTTTTGGTTTCTAATAATAAATGGTACATAGGAATAATTTTTAGAAAATGGATGTTAAATTTTATCAAATTTTTTTTCTCCATCAGCAGAACTGATCAGTAGAGTCTCGCTGTGTCGCCCAGGCTGGAATGCAGTGGCACGTTCACGCCATTCATTCTCTTGCCTCAGCCTCCTGAGTAGCTGGGACTACAGGCAACTGCCACCATGCCCAGCTAATTTTTTGTATTTTCGTTGTTGTTTTTTTTTTTTTTTTTTGAGACGGAGTCTTGCTCTGTCACCCAGGCTGGAGTGCAATGGTGCGATCTCGGCTCACTGCAAGCTCCGCCTCCCGGGTTCATGCCGTTCTCCTGCCTCAGCCTCCTGAGTAGCTGGGACTATAGGCACCCACCACCACGCCCGGCTAATTTTTTGAATTTTTAGTGGAGACGGGGTTTCACCATGTTAGCCAGGATGGTCTCAATCTCCTGACCTCATGATTCGCCCGCCTCGGCCTCCCAAAGTGCTGGGATTACAGGCGTGAGCCACCGCACCCGGCAATTTTTTTTAGTAGAGACGGGGTTTCATCGTGTTAGCCAGGATGGTCTCGATCTCCTACCTTGTGATCTGCCTGCCTCGGCCTCCCAAAGTGCTGGGATTGCAGGCGTGAGCCACCGTGCCTACCCAGAACTGATAGTTTTAAAAATTAGATTTATAGAATCATCCAGCTATCCTTGTATCCTGGTATTTTTTAAAGTGATAAAGAATCATCTTAGGGAATGTGCAAAACCAAAAACCCAATCCCAAACCCATCACTGCCAAATAAGCACTAAAGTAACCAGCAAATGAATTCCAACAGCTGCTTCAGTTCTGTTCACCTCTCCATCCCATACCTATCAACAACGGGGAATGTGGAAGTTTTGGATCTGAACAGCCTAAGAAACATCTCTCCATTGCTAGTCTCCAGATCTTTCCAGGCTGCTAACAATGGAGAGCGCGGAGTCTTGGCTTTCTTCACCACACTGACGAGTGAGGCCTTGTGTGTTTAAGACCCCACTGGTAACACACACTCAGCTTCCCCCATCCTTAAAGGGTAGGGAGCCAGGGTGGGCTTCACATGGGCGGACCTGCTGCCAGTCAGCCTGTCTACTGTGAAGTCGAGTCCAAGAGGTTCCTGTCCCCTCTAGTCACATGGCCACCCTGCCCAGACTGAGCCTCCCCTGCTTCCCTGTAGAGGGGCAGGCCCGGGTGCGGAGTGGAGGCCCTTGGTGCCCATCAGTCCCCCTCCCACAGAACAGTCACCACCACACTGAGAATTTATCATAGAATAGATTTATTTACCTGAAACCATGTCTGTGCGACGCTCATTGTTACCAGCACAGAAAGAAACAAACTGATCTCTATTTACAGTCTAAAGTCAAACATGCGCAGTGATAAATTGACATTTAGCATTTTATTAAGATAAATGCATCACAATATTTGTATTGCACCAACATCTGTCTACTGCTTCTGATTTCATTAAATAAGTTACATTTAATACAGTGCGAAATAGCTGTCTGCACACTCAGAAAATAACTGAAAATGAACTGGAGGCCTACATTTTAACCATTCAACACCTGTAGTGTTTTTAATGAATTTATAAATAAGCAAACTGTACAGGGCCAATTAAAAAGTAGCATGTTCCAATGTCACTGGAGAGGGATCTGGCTACTTACAACCGAAGGCATGCATTACAATTGAATACTGTACATTTATATAAGCTATGACATTTTGCAGAGAAATGTGGCGACTTGGCTGACGGCTTCCAAGTTCTTAGATAAGGTTACAGAGCCTCATTCCTCTTGCAGCAAAGAAACCAAACTTCTCTGGAGAGGCTTTCTGATTAAGCTAAATTGTACATCTGTAATCAGTATTTTGATTTAAAAGCTAACAACCCCATTGGTAATACACATTTCCTCCACATAACACAAAGTGAGTTGGGAAGTTTTTTACTTTTCTTTTTCCCCAACATCAGTCATGCACAGGGTTGGTAGATGTGTTGCTAAAAACGCACATGCACGCAACCGAACACCCTTACATTTCTGCAAAATGGTTTAGGAAGCGGTTACTCCAGTATTGCTGAAAAGGAAAGAGAGAGGAAATCAGCTTCATGAAATACAGAGAGGAAACGTTAGAATACCTATTTAAATAGATGAAGATCAACAGCGACAGATGAAAAGGAACATTCAGCTTGATCTTTTCAAGGTTTCAAGACCAGCATTTCTGATTTACTGTCCCTGAGGTGCCGCCCACACAGGGTAGCATCTAGAAGCACTGGCTCAGTGACACAGACTCCTCGTGTCGTCTGGCTACAGAATAAAGGCTCTGGAGGAAAACCCCATGAGGCAGACACAATCGTTGCAGCTGTGAAAGCAGCGAGACAGGCAAGAGGACAAGGTCTTGGTTAGTGGTGCAGAGGGTGAGGTTGATGGAGAAGTGAGCAGCCAGTAGCAGCACAGCCTTCCTGTCCCTGCCCTGTGGGCACCCGGCTTCTGGCTGCTCGCCTGCCTTGCCTAGCCCTGGAGAGGAAACTCCTCCGCATCATTCTCCTCAGTAAAGGAGGGTGAAGCCTACCCTTCTTGCTAACTGCAGCGGGTGTTTGGACAATTTGGTGGTTACAGTCACAGGGCAACTGCTGGCTCTGCTCACAGGCACTGCAGACGTGGTATGCTCTGGCCCTGGACAGTGGCTAGATGCTTGGTAGACACTGAGCTAATCTTGTGGTCTCAGGTCTTAGGTCTGCCCACCTCAGTCAGGGCTGAAGCTCCAGTCCGAGGGGATGTGGGAGCAGCTGTTGTGAGGGAAGTCGGCCAGATGCCCTGCTTGCCTGGGAGCTCACTGAGCTCAAGGGACAGCTTCCTCCAGAATGGATCATCTGCATTCTGCAGAGTGGTGTCCCAGTTAGGGTATGTATGATTGTTGGTCTTCTGGGCAAAGCTCAGAGAGGCCAAGGGAGGCACGGGGTGGCAACAAGCGACACTGATGGCTGGGCCTTCAGCCACCTGCCCATCAGGAAAGAATGTGGAAGTAAGTTTCAGGCAAGAGCTGCCTGACAGCAGGCACATTGCGGGGCTGGGCAGCTGCTGCCTCACTGTTAGGTGAGGGCCTGAGGCCAGGGATGTGCCAAGACCACGGTGCTGGACCTGGTCTTTATGGGTTGACCTGAGGAGGAGATGCTGAAGTGTTTTCACCCAGCAAAGCCTTCAGTGAAATGGAGCAAGTGGCCCTGCTCAAAACAGCAGTGGGCCTAACCCACTCCCAGCTGTCTGGACCAAGGGAAGTGGGTCCCTCCATGGGCTCCTCTGTGGGCTGGAGGGGTCTGAAGCTGAGAAACCATGAAGCTAACTAGGGGCTGTGCGACAGCAGGCCACACACTACTCAACTTTTTTTGTAAAGGCCACTAAGTCAAGGAACTGAGTCAGGAAAAGCTGAGTTTTGTTTGCACGGAATAGCAATAGTGCAGCACTCAAGTCAGTTTGCAGCCCAGAGATGCACTCCTTGCATTTGGCCCATTCAACCCATTTCTTGTTACACCTCATGATGCTCAAACTGGCAAAATTTACCCCCTGCCCCAAATGTTCCCTGCTGGGCAAAGCAGCCTCCCTTCCCGAGAGCCACAGCTGCCTGCGAGCAGCCTTGGAGGCTTCACAGTAAGGCTGATTTTTTTTTGACAGGGCCTCACTCTGTTGCCCAGGCTGGTTTGAGTACCTGGGCTCAAGCAATCCTTCTGCTGTGGCCTCCAAAGGGCTGAGACTTACTTACAGGCATGAGCCACCACACCCAACCACGGACTGTGCTTTTAAGAGTCGGTCTCCAGGTTCCACCTCCATCCCTTGAACGTGGGCCCTCTGAACTCAGCAGCACCTTGTCCTGCTTGATGCCTCCTAACCCTCCCCAAACTCCAACCATCTGCATTACATCTACTGGCCATCCCAGTAACCAGAGCCTAAGTACATTTTGAAGAATATAGTCGAGGCCTCACACCCTGGCTAAGGAGTAAGCTGGTTTTTGGGCTGTGCAGAGCCACGTCCTACTAACTGTGCTTTAACATCCCCTGCAGAGCTAAGTCTTAGCCACCAAGGACAAGACCAAGCAAGGGGGGGTGGGGGAGTGGGGAAGTGGCCTATTTAAGACGAACCTATCGATACCCAGAGTTCACTGGTTCAGTTACTTGCTTTCACTAGTTTTTAGCTTTTTAATAAATAAGTAGCAATGTTCTGGGATGACTCCTGGCAGCTGCGAACCCTCATTTTAGCAATAGTCTGCACAGCTCCTTCAGCCTGTTGGTCTGGCTGAAATGCCTCTCTCCCCACTCCGGCTTTTGTCTGGCTTGGGCCCTCCTGGTCATCTTGTCCTAGGCAGCCTGTGGAGGTCTATGAAAGCCACACCTCCAGCCAGCTGATGCTGCGCCCGAGTCACATGGCAGGCGCCACAGGCAACCCCGGTGCTCACAGGGCATCAGGGAGCACAGCAGCATCTGCCATGGAGGCGGCTTATAAGTTAGTGACATACAGTTATCTCACTTGGTGGCAGTCACCTTTAGGCTAAAGCATCCAAATCCCAGGAAGAAAATACTCACGTTAGTTGATGGATGTTGGAAGGCATTGGAGGAAAACACCACAGTTAGGACTGTTAATGACTTACACACTGTTGGTGAGACTCATCTCGAACATGCGCAAACATTGATCGTAGTAACGGTGGTGGTGGTTAGTGCCACATTCAAATAAAAATAGTTCTATACAATATGTTCATTTGGTCATGTGCTATTTACAGATTTTACAAAACACACACATACACACACATACACACTTGCCCTTATGTTCTCTATACCAGGCCAGCAGAAACTTGCATAAAATGTACATCACAGATGACAATTAGTGCCTGTACATTAAGAATACAATTCCTATGACTACCTACACAGCAGAGCAGGAGCCTTCTTCCCCTCAAGCAGAGTACAACTAAAGTTCTGAGCTAAGAACTGGAGAGAAAGTTGGACATGTCTGTTAGTCCCAGGTAAGCCACTTACGAGTTAAAGACAAGACAGTTATTTTTCTCTGTCCATTTAAAATGTTTTATTTTTTTAAAACTAGATGACGTGCCACTGAAATAGGCAATGTTGGCAAAACAATGTCTGTTACAATAAAATACATTAGACATTTAAATAAATAACCTTAAAAACTATGTGAAGGGACATAAACCCAGTCGATTGAATCTGGAACAATGTTTTCTGCACAAGCGAGTACAGGCATACCTCTCGTTAAAACTGATGTAAACAGAACGAACCATCACAATCCTAAAGAAGAAGCCAAGCGGGGCGGGGGTAAGGTGGGGAGAGGTGGGGTGGGGTGGGGTGAACGGAGGCCAAAGTGGGTGAGGGAAGTAGCAAACCAAAACAATACTGACTGAGGTAGCAAGACTCTGCTCAGTGCAGAAAAATTGGCTTATGAATAAAAATTAGACTGTGATATCAAATTAAATCCGGATCATCATGCAAAAGACACAATACATGCTATTTAGTTTTAGAAAAAAAACCACACACATTCATTTCCTAAAATCTGCTGCCAATTAATTTGCTGACAATGTCTGCTGGCTCAACTATTTTTTTTATACAAGGATGAGTATTAAACAGAACACTGTACATGCTTTTTCATCTACAAAAAAATATTTGCATAAAATAGTGTTAGTTCTCTGTACATGTCAATGGACACTTTAATTATGTGTATAAAAAAGGAAAATCTTGCCCCACTGGAGTCAGAAAAAGCAAAACAAAATCTAGAGTATGAAACCTCCATCACCAGCCAGTATGTTCATGTGAAAATTCAGCAGAAATAGACAGTTGCTTTAAACAATAAAAAAATTAATTGATTAAGTTAAACATCTTCTTTATGGAAAACTGTCAGTCAAGACCAGAACATATCGCTAAAGTTAGTGTCTGTGCTATAGACCCAGATCACCAGGGGCATTATGAGCAGCACAAACGGCCAGGAAATCCCATCGGTGCATGCCGAGAACGAGCAGGATTTGGTGGCAGGCTGCACACACTCTTTACCAGGTTCCAGGTAGTTGCGGGCCACAAACTTGAGCGTCTCATCCATGAGAATCACGGGCAAGGAGATTTTCAGCACCATCAGCCACTGGGTCACGTTCAGCGGTGTGATCTGGAAGATGAGCTGACACACAGGGAAGACGTGTCACGCCTCCAGCCTCCCCTGGAAGGAGGTGGCTGGTCCCAAGCCCCACCCAACCACTTACTGGCAAGGGTTCGACATAGAGGATCAGGAAGTGGAGTGACATGGACAGGCAGATGGAGCCCACGAGCCAGATGTTCTCCCAGGGGGGCATCCTCAGCAAGGACTGGTTTTCGGACAAGCTGCAGAGCAAGGAGAGGTGGGGAAACGCACCCCCAAGGCAAGGCACGTGTCACAGTGGCAGTAAGACCCTGTTGGACTACACTTCAGTAAGGCGGCTGTTAATGTGGCACCATCCGCTGACCTACCTCCACTTTCTACAGTGGCAAAGTTGAAGAGAATGTCCTAATGCAGGACAAACTGTGAATTCTGTATCTATGTTTTGGCATAGCAGACCCCATCTTAGTGGGTTCAAAGCTGTTCCCAATTGCCCTGGAGACTTGGGCTATTTAGAAATTTCCATTTTTGTCACGGGCTTAACTGGATGGTACCATTTGTCTGTGTGAAAGGGTGAGGTTCCTTCCCTGTGGGTGCTGGCATACAGGGGTACCAAAGTTCCTATTTTTGGCCCCCACGGTTTCTTTTAAGGAAGAGCTCCTAAGAAACACAGGGCTAAGCACTCCCACTACTTCCTGGAGGTGACGACAGCTCATGCTTTTAAAACTGGTATTGCCTGTTCTCCTTTCTTTTGGGAAGGGAAGAACTGTCCTGTGATCCTCAATCAACCGTGACTACACACAATTCCCCGGTGCCCTGGCAGTCACCATGCTCGCCTCAGCCTGCCGTGAAGGTGCACTAACCTGTTGAGGGCGTTACACATTTCTATAGTTACTAGAACAGAGAGCGCCATTGTCATCGGGTATGGGGATTCAAAGATTGCACAATCCACGC
This sequence comes from Homo sapiens, assembly GCF_000001405.40. Lineage (NCBI taxonomy): Eukaryota > Metazoa > Chordata > Mammalia > Primates > Hominidae > Homo > Homo sapiens. The sequence continues at coordinate 110,345,291 of NC_000012.12, read as the reverse complement.
CTTCAAAGTCCGGGTTGTCCTCTTTACACTGTAGGAAATGACTCTGCAAGAAAATCCAATCAAATTCCTATCAGCCCAGTATATTTCCCAAGTCCAGGCTCCAACCCCATACCAAGCCTAGCACAGACCAGCCTGAATGCAGAGCCAGCCAAGAGGTTTACCCCAATTTCTCGGAGAAGCCCTGGTCCTTCAGAATCATCTTAGATGTAACTGTTTATTGTCTGAGTCTTAAGATGATTTGATAGATACCGAAACCACAGAAAGGTCAAGGCCTCACAACACTTCTCATGTAAGGTACAGAAAGAAAGGTGACTGAGTACCAGCTGGTAGAAGGACACTCTTGGACCACCGTCAGCAGCAATGAACCACCATGCAGCAGCACCCACGGTAGCAGCGCCGACGTAACCTGGGAACAAACACAGTGATGCTGATGCACTTGCCTCTGCAGGGCTCGCTGCCACCGAGGCCATGCAGGCCAGTCCCCACAAGGACGAAGATCAAAGACATGGGACAGTGATGGTAACCGGGGCCTGTGGTGCTACCACCACCTGCTCACGCCTGGTAGCCAGAGCAACTAGACCCTGGTTTCTGAAGGACAGGGGTGTTTCTAGAACAGAAGAACTGGATAACTTTTCCTCCAGAATGTGTGAGAAAAAGCACTTGCTCCATCCTGTGCCAACCTTTCCCCTTGCCGTGCCTTCTCCCCTCAGTGGGTAGTACTTCAAGGCTGCAAGTGTGTGTGTACTCCATGTAAGGCTGCACAGTTTGAGGGACTAGATTACACCAGGACTTTTGGACAAACTATTGCTGCCTAGTTGTACACAGATTTATTTGCTCCATTAGAGGCCCAGCAGCAGTTTTCTAGGGAAATGCTGTCAGGAGCTAGGGTGGAACACTGAGCAGCATGGCCCTGCCCTCAGCAGCTTCTGGGATTCCCCCCAGTATTAGCTTTGAGTTCAGGAAGTTTATTGCAAAGAAGCAACAAGGTGCAGCAGAGAATACACAGAGTTCAGACGAGGCAAATATCCCCATGTGGTAGCATCAAAAACAACAAGTGCATATACCCACTAACCCACGAATTACAGTGGAGCATGAAGGCCGCTGGCTGCAAGGATGAGGCACTACGCATGTCCGGATATGGAAGGATCTGACAAGCAGGAAGAAGGCAAGACAAGGGTCAACATGCAGGTGTGCACAGCATGCTGGAATCTCTCCGGAAGGGCACAGGGTACATGAGCACCTCAACGCCAGAGGGAAGTGACTGGCCCAAACCCTTTCCATTCTATGCCATTGTGTGCTTTTTGAATTTGAAGTCATGTGAATATATTATGAAAACACAATGCCTTCCTATGGGATCCCAGGGAAGTGATTTCACCTCACTTTCCCAATCTATGAAATGGGGAAGAACCCGGGGTGAGGAAGATGAGGGCTAAAGAGATGATTTATATATAAAAGGGACCAGCCACTGCGCAACCCTTCTCTTATGGAAACAGGGACTAAATTTTATAACTTGGTGACAATTATCTATTTAAATCCCACCTATGAACTCTTGGAAGGCAGAACCTAGCGTGAATCATTCTTATCCCTTTGCACAGAGGGCTCAATCTGAAAACCCTGATGTTTAATTGCTCATTCAGAAAAGCCCAAGTAAGGGCAGGATGCTAAAACTGGAACTAACTGTGAAAGGACTCTGGTAAATTGGATGTATAGTTCATCGAACTGTAAGAGGGCATCTCTGTCTTTTGCTACCCTATACGGGGATAGAAGAAAAAACACGCTTTTAAGGGATGAATTTACAAAATTTCAGCTCACAAACATTTTGTTTAAAAATCAGTAATATAAAAAAATTGTACTCACAGCCAATAGCCAAGTAACGGAAAAAGAGCCACCCGCTGATCAATGGTTCCTTTGGGTTCCGGGGAGGTTTATTCATGATGTCCAGATCAGGAGGGTTGAACCCCAGTGCAGTGGCAGGCAGGCCATCTGTCACCAGATTGACCCAGAGCAGCTGAACAGGAATCAAAGCCTCGGGAAATCCAAGGGCTGCTGTCAGGAAAATACTGTTTCCAATCAAGAAAAGAAGACAAAGAGAGCCCAAATGACTTCTGGCCACTATTTAAAGAGCATCATCAACCCGCCCTCCTCCAGAAAAATAAATGACAACAACTTCAGGTAATCTGTAAAATACTTATACCCAATTTTGAATTAAAGCTCAATTTTACTTAGTTTATTACTTAAATTCAGATGACTGAGGCCAGGTGCGGTGGCTTATGCCTGTAATCCCAGCACTTTGGGAAGCCAAGGTGGGCAGACTGGCTGAGCTCAGCAGTTAAGAGACCAGCCTGGGCAACATGGTGAAACCTCATTTCTACTAAAACACAAAAAAATGGCAGGGAGTGGTGGCGCATGCCTGTAATCCCAGCTGTTCGGGAGGCTTGAACCCAGGAGGTGGAGGGGACAGTGAGCTGAGATCGTGCCACTGCCCGAAGCCTGGGCGACAGCGAGACTGTCTCAAAAAAATAAATAAAAATAAAAAAATTATTAAGCTGACTGAGATAAAGCCAACTTTTGGAGGGCAAGAATTTCATGTGACTACCTGGTTAATGTTAGCTCAGTCTCACGTTAAAGAGGATTCTTTGCACATTGGGGCAGCTGCAGACAACCCTCCCGAGGGCCAAAGCACCACTGCTTCCATAAGGCATTTCTGTCTTGCCCACTCCCCTCTTCCAACTCAGGCACAAAGACCAAAGCTGCTGCAATCTGGAGAGCAAACTGCGAGAACTGGGCTCCATGACCCATTTAGATAAAGGCGTACAGTAAGTGATGCTGTCACAGAGACCTACCAGACAACTTCCCCGACGTTGGACGAGATGAGGTAGCGGATGAACTGTTTCATGTTGTTGTAGATTGCCCGCCCCTCCTCAACGGCAGCCACAATGGTGGAGAAGTTGTCATCCGCCAGGACCATCTCAGAGGCGGTTTTAGCCACCGCAGTGCCAGAGCCCATAGCAATGCCAATCTCGGCTTTCTTCAGAGCAGGAGCATCGTTCACGCCATCGCCAGTCTGAAAGGGAAAGCAATGGTTGGGTCAGCCAACTGGCATGCCACATTCATACCCCTAGGCAAAAGCCCACTGAATGGGAAGCAGGAGGAAAATGAATAGAGCCGTAGGTCTCTTGGCAAAGAGTTTTAGAATTTTTGTTTCATAAGTTGGTGTCACAAAACACATTTTACCTAGGAAATGTAAAATTACCAAATAAGTTTACCGAAGTGGGACAAAGGGGACTTCAAATTTATCTGTATTATCTTACTAAAAACAAAAACACAACCTATGTGGCAGTCAAGAGGAAGCACTTGTATCCACATGGATAAATTTCAAGTAGAAAGATGCAGATTGCAAAAATATGCAAATTTTTATTTTTCTGAGATGGAGTCCCGCTCTGTCGCCCAGGCTGTAGTGCAGTGGCGCAGTCTCGGCTCACTGCACGCCTCCTGGGTTCAAGCGATTCTCCTGCCTCAATCTCCCGAGTAGCTGGGATTACAGGCGCCCACCACCACACCCAGCAATTTTTTGTATTTTTAGTACAGACGGGGTTTCACCATGTTGGCCAGGCTGGTCTTGAACTCCTGACCCCAAGTGATTCACCTGCCTCGGCCTCCCAAGTGTTGGGGTTACAGGCATGAGCCACTGCACTCGGCCAAAAAATATGCCTTCAAAAGCATGCAAAAATAATACTGTCTACAGACACAAAAACAGCACTCCCATGTTTTTAATATTTTTGCTAAATTCCAACTTCAGTTACCTCTGGGGGAGAGGAGAGTACACTTATAGTATGTTTCAAAACTAAGATTTTTTTTTAAAAGAGAAGAAAGTAAATTTAACATAATGTATCTGGGTGAAAATCAGGTGAGGGGAAGAATACTGGAAATGCTTCATCAATAGCCAGCTCTTAAAGAACTTAAAAGCAGGGTGATCCAAACAACTGACTGATTACATCCTCAATTTTCAGAAAACTTACAATAAAAACACGTCTCATTTAAAAAAGAGACTAGATCACCAGATTGTTCCTCTGGGACTGATCTGGAAGGCCCTTCTGGGTTTTAAACGACTCTAGGATCTTCCCTGCAAGTAGCACACAACATGCTAACCACTGATTCACCGAATTCTAGAGAAAAGACCCAAATCATGACAAATTCCAAATTAGGGAGCTATGACAAAAAAATTCAGTGGTCAAAATTAGAGGCTACTATGTGCTTGTGTAGCCTGAGTCACCTGTACATGTTCAAACATGCTCACCATAGCTGTAATCTCATCAAAAGACTGAAGAAATTCTACGATTTTAGACTTGTGGGAGGGTTCAACTCGAGCAAAACAGCGGGCGTTCAGGCAGGCGTCTCGCTGGGCGGAGGGGTTGAGTTCATCAAACTCCCGGCCTGTGAAAGCTTTTGACGTCACGTCCTCATCCTGCCCGAAGATGCCGATGCGGCGACAGATGGCCACAGCAGTGCCCTTGTTGTCCCCAGTGATCATGATGACCCGGATGCCTGCTTGCCGGCACAGCTTCACGGAGGAGGCCACCTCGATTCTCGGAGGATCCAGCATGCCCACGCAGCCAACGAAGGTCAGATTGGTCTAAAATAAGAGCATCACTTTAAATAAAAGTGGCAAGTTCTAGTTTTTGTCCCCTAGTTTGAAAAATGCCCAGTTAAACATTGAGACAGGTTTCTGCATTTTTTTTCTTTTTTTTTTTTTGAGGCGGAGTTTCGCTCTTGTTGCCCAGGCTGGAGTGCCATGGCGCAATCTCAGCTCACTGCGACCTCCGCCTCCCAGGTTCAAGAGACTCTTCTGCCTCAGCCTCCAGGGTAGCTGGGACTACAGGTATGCGCCACCACACCTGGCTAATTTTGTATTTTTAGTAGAGATGTGGTTTCTCCATGTTGGTCAGGCTGGTCTCAAACCCCCAACCCCAGGTGATCTGCCAGCCTCGGCCTCCCAAAGTGCTGAGATTACAGGCATTTGAGCCACCGTGCCTGGCGGTTTTTGCATTTTCTTATGAGAAAAAAAAATACCACTACACCCGTTATCAAACCATTCTTTAACTCTTGTGCTATTCTGAGCCCACAGTACCAAAGCTTCTTCATTTTGTTCATAGCTTTAGGATGTCACATCCTTGATATAAAAGAATTCTACTCTGAGTAGAAAAGTGGAAGTAATCTCCAACTTGGATCTTTTGACCTTCAGTAACTAATGAATATTCTAGAAATGTCACCAATTTAAAAAAAATCATGATTTAGATGAGAGGCAAAATGGGGTTTACAAGCTTAAGCTCATCTTGATTATTCTACTTTGAAAATATTCTACTTTGAAAATAACACTTTTATGAAATTATTAACTATGTATGTTTGAAGCAGCAAATTTTAAGGGTGACACAGCTGGCAGGCAGAAAAACAAATAACCACACCTCTTTCTTGGCAAAAGTGAGAACTGTTTGACCTTTTGCTTGAAGGAGTACTGTTTAAACACAATGAATCGTGCAGGGTGTGGACAAAGAAACTTTTCATTAGCTAACCTCATATTTAATAAAGTTGGCAGAGTCCTCAAGGTGCATTTCTTCTCTTCTCAGTGGGTTGTCATGAGTGGCCAGGGCCAGGCATCGCAGTGTGTCGCTGCCACTACCCCACTCTCGAATGACAGACATGATCTTCTGTTTGACTCCAGAGGTCATAGGAACCTTAGTACTTCCAACTCGAATGTGGGTGCACCTGTCAATGACACCTTCAGGAGCACCCTGGAAATGTTACAGATTTAGATAAACAATTTTGTTTTATTGGTTCACCGGGATCTTAACCCTGGCAAGAACATCTCAATTGCAATCTGCCATACTTGCCTTCACAAACATCTTGCTCATTGATGTCCTGCTTGGTTTATTTGGTGTACAGTAAACCGACATTGACTTTCTGTCACGTGAAAACTCTAGAGTGAATTCCTTTTTCATCAGCTGTTTAATGACCTACAAAGGGAACAAATATGGATACTACTGGGTGGCAATTTCTGAACTTTTTTACCTAACAAGCAGTAAGCACACCTATTACATGACAGATGCTAGGAATATAGCAATAAACAAAACAGACAGGTTTTTGCCCTCATGAAACTTGTCCCCTATTTTGGGAGAGACAGACTAAGATGCAAAAGTAACACAAGTGCTATAGAGAAAAAGGGAAGGGGGATAGAAAATTTGCATACATACATATGAACTGTTACATAAAGTGGCCAGAAGGCGGTGACATTTGAATAAAGATGGCCCCATGGGGCCTGAAAAGATGTGTGTGAACCCAGTGGGTGGTGGTGAAGACCCACCAGGCAGAGAACGGAAGT